>NC_000013.11:80853556-81006397 GCF_000001405.40 Homo sapiens | reverse complement strand
GCAATCAGACAATAGAAAGATATAAAGGGCATTATATAAAGATATAAACCGAATTGGAGAAGAAGTCTAATTATCCTTGTTTGCAGATGATATAATCTTATATCTGGAAAAACCTAAAGAATCCACAAGAGAACTATTAGAACTAATAAATAAATTCAGTACAGTTGCAGAATACAAAATCAACATACAAAAATCAGTAGCATTTCTATATGCTGAAAGCAAACAATCAGAAAAAGAAATCAAGAAAATAATACCATATGATAGCTACAAAATAAAATACCCAGGAATTTATTTAAGCAAAGGAGTAAAAGATCTCCGCAATGAAAACTATAAAATATTGATGTGATAAATTGAAGAAGTCACAAAGAAATGGAAAGATATTCCACGTTAATGGACTGTAAGACTTAATATTTTTAATAAAATGTCCATACTATCCAAAGCAACCCATAGATTTAATGCAATCTCAATAAAAATACCAATGACATTATTCTCAGAAATAGATAAAACAATTATAAAATGTATATGGAACCACAAATAGCCAAAGATATCCTAAGGGAAATAAAACAAAACTGGAGGAATCACATTATCCGACTTCAAATTATAGTACAGAGCTATGGTAATTAAAACATCATGTTTGTGGCATGAAACACACATGGATTAGAAGAAGAGAACAGAGAACCCAGAGATGAATCCTTATGTCTACTGTGAACTCATTTTTGACAAGGATGCTTTGTCAAAAGCATCTTTGTACTTTTTTGACAAAAATTATGTATATTGGAAAAAGTACATTCTCTTCAATAATGTGCTGGGAAAACTAGAGATCCACATGCAGAAGATTGGAATTAGATTCCTATCTCTCACCATTTGATCTTTGATACAAAGATCAAATCAAAATGGGTTAAAGACTTAAATCTAAGATCTCAAACTATGAAACAACTAAAAGAAAACTTTGGAGAAATTCATGAGGGCATTGGAGTGGGCAAAAATTTCTTAAGTAATACCCCGCAATCACAAACAAAGTAAAAAATGGACAAATGGCATTACATCATGTTAAAAAGCTTCTGCACAGCAAAGAAAGCCATTAACAAAGTGAAGAGACAACCCACAGAGTGGGAGAAAATATTTGTAAACTGCCTATCTGACAAGGGATTCTTAACCAGAATATATAAGAAGCTCAGACAACTCTATAGGAAAAAAATCTAATAATCTGATTAAAAAATGGGTAAAAGATCTGAGTTGATGTTTCTCAAAAGTAGACATACAAATGGCGAACAGGTATACATTAAGGTGATCAACATCATTGATTATAAGAGAAATGCAAATCAAAACTGCAATTAGATATTATCTCACCCTTGTTAAAATGACTTTTATCCAAAAGTCAGACAATAACAAATGCTGGCAAGAATGTGGAGAAAAGGGAAACCTCATACACCATCAAAGAGAATGTAAAATATCACAACCCCTATGGAGGACAGTTTGAAGTTTCCACAAAAAACAAAAATTAGAGCTGCCATACAATGAAATAATACCACTTTTAGGTACATAACCAAAAGAAAGAAATCAGGATATCAAAGAGATATCTGCACTCTGATATTTATTGCAACACTCTTCACAATATCTAAGATTTGGAAGCAACCTAAGTGTCCATCAACAGATGAATGAATGACGAAAATGTGGTACATATACACAATGGAGTACTATTTAGCTATAAAAAGTGAGATCCTGTCATTTGCAACAACATGGATGGAGCTGGAGGTCATTATGTTAAGTAAAATAAATAAGCCAGGCACAGAAATACAAAGTTTGCATGTTTCATTGTTTTGTGGGAGCAAAAAATTAAAACAATTGAATTTATGGAGATAGAGAGTAGAGAAGTGGTTATCAGAAGCTAGGAAACCTAGTGGGCATGGGGGGTGGGGTGAGGGGAAGCGGGGCTGGTTAATTAGTACAAAAAATAGAATAAACATGATCTAGTGTTTGATAACAAAAGAGGATGACTATTGTCAATAATAATTTAATAATAATTTAATTGTACATTTAAAGGTAACTAAAATAGTATAATTGGATTGCTTGTAATACAAAAAATAAATGCTGGAGGCTATGAATACGCTATTTACTCTGATATGTTCATTATAAATCGCATGTCTGTATTAAAATATCTCATATAATCCATAAATATATACACCTATTATGCACCCACAAAAATAAAAAATAAACCACAAAGACATATGATCTCACACCATCATAATGGCTATTATTTAAAAGTCAAAAAACAACCCATGATATTGAGGCTCTGGAGAAAAGGGACTGCTCATTCGCTGTTGTTGGGAATGTAAATTAGTCCAGCCACTGTGAAAAGCAATCTGGAGATTTCTTTAAAAACTTTAAACATAACTATCTTTTGACTCAGCAATCCCATTAATCATTATATACCTCCTAAAAAACAAATTTTTCTCCCAAAAAGACACACATTCACATGTCATCACAGTACTATTCACAATAGCAAAGACATGGAATCAACCTAGGTGGCCATCAGTGGTGAATTGGATTAAAAAAATGTACTACATATGTACCGTGGAATATTATGTAGCCATGAAAAGAATAAAATCATGTTCTTTGTAGCAAAATGAATGCAGCTGGAGGCCATTATTCTAAGCAAATTAATGCAAGGACAGAAAATCAAATACTGCATGTTCTCAGTTATAACTGGGAGCTAAACATTGGGTAGTCATGGACATAAAAATTGCAACAATAGATACATGGAACTATTAGATGGGAGGAGGGACAAGGATTAGAAAACTAATTGTTGGGCAATATGCTAAGTATCTGGGTGACAAAATCATTGACAATCCAAACCTCAGCATCATGCCATCATGCAATATACCCAGGTAACAATCCTGTGCATGTTCTCCTTTATCTAAAATAAATCTGAGAAGAAAAAAGTGTGTCTCAGTCCTCTGGTGCTGCTAAAACAAAATACCACAGACTAGGTAATTTATAAATAATATAATTTATTTCTCAAAGTTCTGGATACTGGAAGTCCAAGATCAAGGCACTCGCAAGATTCATCTTGTGAAGATTCAGACTCTGCTTCCAATATGGAGACTTGAACTGTGTCCTCACATGGCTTAAGGTCTAAGGGAAAAAAATGCCTCGCCAGTTCCCTCTAATTTCTTTATTAGGTTTCAAAACACTACTAGTTCCCTTCATGAGCACTCCATTATTTAATCACCTTCTAAAGGTTTTGCTTTTTAGTAATATTACATTGACAATTAAGTTTTAACATATGAATTTTAAGGGATGCATTTAGACCCTAGCAAAAGAATTTTGCACATTTTGGGAAACTACAAAGTTTTGATTTCATTCAGTTGTGATAATAAAAGTCAGAATGTTTCTGGGTTTTTTTTTTTTCTTTTTAAGAGACAGGTTCTCACCCTGGCACCAGGGTGGCATGTATATGTGTGATCATGCCTCACTATAACCTCAAACTCATGGGCTCAAGTGATCCTCTTGCCTTTGCCTCCTGAGTAAGTAGGACTACAGGCAAGTGCCACCTCACTCAGCTAATTTTTATTTTAATGTGTGTGTGTGTGTGTGTGTGTGTGTGTGTGTGTGTGTGTGTGTACGTGGTCTCATTTTGTTGACCAGGCTGGTCTCAAACTCCTGGTCTCAGACAGTCCTCCAGCCTTGGTCTCTCAAAGTACCAGAATTACAAGCATTAGTAACCATGTCCAGCAAGAATGGTTTCCTGCAGTTTTATCTGTAGGAATAGTGGTTGTGTTGGTGTGTGGCATTGCAAATATGAGGGCACAGTGATATATTTATTTTGAGTGGTTGGTAAACTTGAGAATATTCATTGATCACTAAGTCATTGATATAGTTTGGATATTTTAACTACCCAAATGTCATGTTGAATGATAACCTCCAGTGCTGGAGGTAAGGCATGGTAGGAGGTGTTTGGGTCATGGGAGATGATCCCTCATGGCTTGATGCTGTCTTCATGATTGTGACTTCTCATGAGATCTGGTCATTTTAAAGTGTGTGGCACCTCCCTCTATTCTCTCCTTGTTGCTCCTACTGTTGTCATATGAAGTTTCCATTCCCACTTCACCTTCTGCCATGAGTAAAAGCTCCCCTGAAGCAGATGCCATCATGCTTCCTGTACAGCCTGCAGAACTGTGAGACAATTAAACCTCTATTTTGTTTTTAATAAATTACCCAGTCTCAAGTATTTCTTTATGGCAATGCAAGAATGGCCTGATAGAGTCATGTGGGAATTCTCTTAATTATAATTTGTTTCACTTAGAAATTTGAAATATTGGATTATTCACTTTGGTATGCAATCTTGTCTGTAATAATTAGGTTGACAACATAAATGCCTGTAATCCAAGCACATTCTCCACATGCTTTTAGGATGAGAGTGAGAAGTACTCCGGGGTAAACCCTAGTAGTAAGTTGTCACAAACTTTATGAACTTCAAGTATTGTTGTGCAAGATTCAGAAGACAGGTAGAGATATTGCATGCCACTGAGGTGGCAGAATTGATAACAGGTCTGAAGACAGGTAAGGGTATAAGGCTATGTCTCCTCAGATATCGGTTCTTACTTACCATGAAGGAAATGCAGTGACTTTTACTAGCCCAAATCCTATAAAAATTCTTAAAGGATATTTGTAAAACAAACTCTGAATTACCAAAAGGCAATACTGTGGCAGCCTTCAGTAATCTGGGTCACGTCTGAGCCATACACTCACTCATCTTTGCTCCTGTCTGTATTCACAACACACACACACACACACACACACACAGATCATATCACATCACAGAATAAGCAGCAGACATTTGGAAAATTTAAAAGAAAATACTGATTTGCTTAAAGGCTTTTCATAAGTAAAAAATCCCATTTATTTATCATCTCTTTTAAATAAAACAATTGTATTTTGGTGTAGACAACAGAATAAAAGTTGATTCAGACTAACACAAATCCTTCTTTACAGATAATTTTTTCAAGTTAAGATCTGAGATAAGTCTAGTGGTAGAAATCTTATAATTTGTGTTTCCTCAATGACTAAGGAACATACTTAATACTATTTTTAGAATGGAGTAAAGCAGTTTAGACATTTTTTAGTCTATGATAATATTATGGAGATTATTTTTCAAGTATCAGTGTCAATAAGAGATGTATACATGAGCATTTAACATACAAGATGGCATAATAATTGGCAAAAGTGATGAACTTATTAATATATTGCAGGAAATTCCAAGGGAAGTTTTTAAGGTGTCACCTGTTTTTTGTTGTTGTTTTGTATCCTACAGTAAAATACAAGAGGGTAATAATTAACTGAGTGAAAAACTTAAACAAAAAGGAGCCACGGCTTGGTAATTTTTAAAATTATCAATCTCTCCAAATGGGAAAAGAAAGAAAAATAAAAATTCTTGCTGGCATAATATGCTTTAGAGAAAATGTCAAAGATATGACTATAAAACCTTTACTGACATCACATAAAAAGTAAACGATTAGGGTATTCAGTTATACAATGGGACCTGTTGAGTGACTAAGGATGTACTTTACAGATTCTCTAAAACCATACGGTCTCTAAGTGGTTTAAGTTGTGGTCTCTCAACCATCTCAGCAGAAGGTTCGACAAGGAGTTATCTCAAAAAAAATATGTAGGTATAAATTTGGTTTAATGGAGTGAATTCCATTGAAATTCAAAAGAAACCCACATGATTCTTGAGAAAATTATTTCAGTGGGGACACAACCAGTTTGAATTGAAAGAAACCAATTATGAAAAGAAAGGAGTCTTTCAGAGTCTCGAGTTTCTGACACAAAGCAGGCTGATAAATCTACTCAGCTGCAAGCACATGTTGCCTTTCATAAAAAAGAAAAGATTCAGAAGGTAAAATCAAGAACCCAGAGAGCAGAGTCAAGAGCCCAGAAAATGGAGCCATATTATATTATACACAAAACAGAAATCATTAGAAAAAAGAGAGAGATTTTTATTTTTAGTAAAGTTATTCATTATTCTTAAAATCTGATCAAGAGGACGGGTGTGGTGGCTCATGCCTGTAATCCCAGCACTTTGGGAGGCCGAGGTGGGCAGATTACCTGAGGTCAGGAGTTTGAGACCAACCTGACCAATATGATGAAACCTCGTCTCTACTAAAAATGTAAAAATTAGCCAGGCGTGGTGGCATGTGCATGTAATCCCAGCTACTCGGGAGGCTGAGACAGGAGAATCGCTTGAACCCAGGAGGCGGAGGTTGCAGTGAGCCGAGATTGTGCCATTGCCCTCCAACCTGGGCAACAGGAGCGAAACTCCATCTCAAAACAAACACAAACAACCAACTAATCAACCAAACAACAAACAAACAAAAAACCTAATCAAGAAACTCCCAATATTTTCCAGGTTGTATTTCAAAACTGCTATGGACCAGCATATTTTACCATTCATTTCCACTCAGTTTTAAAGGAAGATGTCTATAGCTGTAACCTATACTCCTTACCCATCAAATACTGGGTGTGGAATGGCAGATAACTTGTCTCTTTAGTTTCAAAAGTTCATGGACAGATGAAACAGTACCACAGGATCTACTTAAATAATGACACCCAGGGAAACAATCAATACTTGGACTACTTGGACTTTATTTAGATGATGAGATTTTGGGGACTCTATTATTGCTACATTTTTAAAGCTGAGACTCCAATAGGACCATAGGAGTGAAGCTGCAGAACTTCGCGGTGAGTATTACAGTTCATAAAGGCAGTGTGGACCCAAAGAGGGAGCAGCAGCAACATTTATTGCAAAGAGAGAAGGAACAAAGCTTCCACAGTGTGGAAGGGGACCCGAGCGGGTTGCCACTGCTGGCTCGGGCAGCCTGCTTTTACTCTCTTATCTGGCCCCACCCACATCCTGCTGATTGGTAGAGCCGAGTGGTCTGTTTTGACAGGGCGCTGATTGGTGCATTTACAATCCCTGAGCTAGATGCAAAGGTTCTCCACGTCCCCAGTAGATTAGCTAGATATAGAGTGTGGACACAAAGGTTCTCTAACTAATCTTTATGTCCTGTTCTTTTTATGACATCCTCATTCATGTAAATTAGTAGCAACTTCTCAAGAATCAATATAGATCTGACACTGGGCTACTCCAAAAAGGGATAATGATTCTATAGTAGGGGTGTCCAATCCTTTAGTTTCCCTGGGCCACGTTGGAAAAAGAAGAATTGTCTCAACTAACAACTTCTACCCACCCTCTGGCACTTCCCCTGGTCTGGAGAGCTCCCATCTGGAGGACACTACAACTGCAGGGCCCCTTCTAGAAGCAGTTGTCCTAATAGAAAGGTGAAATGAACTAATCAAGAATCACTTACAGTGCCAGTAACAAAAATAACAACATTCTAAGAGAATTGAGGTGACAGCGTGCTGGCAGCCCTCACAGCCCTCACTCGCTCTCGGCACCTCCTCTGCCTGGGCTCCCACTTTGGTGGCACTTGAGGAGCCCTTCAGCCCGCCACTGCACTGTGGGAGCCCCTTTCTGTGCTGGCTAAGGCCAGAGCCGGCTCCCTCAGCTTGCGGGAGGTGTGGAGGGAGAGGCGCGGGCGGGAACCAGGGCTGTGTGCGGTGCTTGTGGGCCAGCGTGAGTTCTGGGTGGGCGTGGGCTCGGGGGACCCTGCACTCAGAGCGGCTAGCTGCTTCCTGCTGGAAGCAGGGGCGAAGAAGGGGCAATAAGCCAGAATGCAGTACACTGTTCTGAAAATCAGGAGGTGGAAGTGGGTGAGTCTCAACTTTGACTTTCACTGAATGCACATCTTAGTTCTCCATAGAAGAATGCTTCTATCTGGAGCCATCACCAACTGCCTCTCCCTCCTAAAATCCCAGACCCATGAGTTCCTTCTGTTATCTCAAAAACTCTAACATCATCAGGGAACACACGCTTCTCAGAGATTTGAGTTTCAGCTCTACAGTACCCCTTCTCTAAATTTTTCAATTTTTAATGTTCCAATCTCCTTTCTTTGTTTCCTGAGTCTTAGCTCAGTTGCAGTTACTTCCTCTCTGCTAACCTAGTGTTCTCTGATTGCTTCTTCAATAGCCTAGTTAACAGCAACAGTATTCTTAGTTAATAATTCTTCATATAAAAACCTATCGGTTGTTTCTGTCTCCTGACAGGGGTGGACCTGTGTTGATATATTGAATGCAACTCATTAAGCCATTTGGGGAATATAAAGTACTTGAAGAGTATTTCACATTAATAGGTATAATTTTAAACACACCTTGCCTCTCACACCCATGGGTAGCATTTGAAAGTATATGTCTTCATTCACTTTGTGTTGCTATACCATAATACCTAAGGCTGGGTAATATTTAAAGAAAATAGGTTTGTTTGGCTCACAATTTTTGTGGCTGGAAAGTCCAAGAGCATGGTGCCAGCATCAGTCCAGCTTCTAGTGAGGGCTTTTGTGCTGTGTCATAACATTGTAGAAGGTCAAAAGGAAAGTGGACACATATGAAGGGGAAAACCATGAGGGGCATCCTTTCTTTATAACTACCTGCTCTTGCAGGAACTAATCCACTCCCATGGATTAGTGCAGTCACTAATGAGTCCCTTAAGAGTGAGAGCAAGAGCAAAAAACTCATTCAGTACTGTAAGAGTGACATCAAGCCATTGATGAAAGTGGAGCCCCATGACCCAAATGCCTCCCATTAGGCAGGTCACACCTCTAAAGGTTTTACCTCGCAACATTGGTGCACTGGGTAGTAAGGTTCCAACATGAGTTTGGTGGGGACACTCAAACCATAGCTTATGATTACCTAAATATCCTGCCAATATCTAAATATTTCCTCCCAGTATACAGGAAATAAGAATTTCTCTCTTTGGAATTTATAAAAATTAGTTAGAATTGTAGTAAGAAATTGTTAAGCGCTAAGTACTCTGGCAATTTACAGGTTAGCCTTACTAAGGCATAGATGTATTTCAAAGTTAAAAAACTCACAGTTTACAATATTAAAATTTTGCACAGCATTAGAAACTAAAATGTCTTTCAGGACTTTAGTAAATGAATACAACTTTTATTACTGGATCTCTGCCTTTTAAAATATATTCATTCCTGCATGCTTCATATGCTGCCAATAATGCAGTGGTATAAAACAAAGACTATGAAACCAACATCCGAATTTCAAGAATTAGCATTGTCACTTTTCAATTTGGTGTGGAGAAGATTAACCTATTCATAATAGTTTTTATCTCATAGGTTACAGTGTTAAATTAATGGGTTAAAATACACAAAAGAGGAAGAAGGGTTTAACAAAATGGCCAAATAGAACGCTCCAGTTATCATTCCTCTCCAGGAGCATCAAATCAAACAAATATTGACACAGAAAGCATCTTCATGAGCACCAAAAGGTCAAAGGAAAAAACAGTATTAGACATTTTTCCTGGTAAGCCAGAAAATTTTCCCATCTTCCCTAAGTCCACGAAGGTTGTTTATCGAGGAGACTGAAAGATGCAGTGTTCCTGGGTTTACAGCACCCCATAGTGCAGAAATGGCTTCAGTGACTATAGGTTTAGGTTACAACACTCAATGCCCTTTGAAAAAAGGTTTGTTTGGCTCACAATTATGGTGGCTGGAAAGTCCAAGAGCATGGTTACAGCAAGTATTCAGCTTCTAAAATAGAAGCTGGAAAGCTTCTATTCTTCTATTCTTGGAAATCCCTCCAAAGAAGGACAGGTATAAACAAGTTCAGACTATAATGATTAGAATAAATACCTAACTCGCTGATGCCCAGACATTGACAAATGTCCACAAGTATTAAGCACATCAGGAAAACACGACCTCACCAAATAAACTAAATAAGGCACCAGAGTCCAATCCCAGAGTGACATATATGTGACCTCTCAGTCAGGGAATTCAAAATAATTGTCTTAAGGAAGCTCAGTGAAATTCAAGATAACACAGAGAAGGAATTAAGAATCCTATGGGAGATATTTAACAAAGAAATTGAAATAATAAAAAAGCAGAAATTCTAGAGCTGAAAAATTCTATTGATAAACTGAAAAGTGCATCATAGTCTCCCAATAGCAGAATTGATCAAGCAGAAGAATTAGTGAGCTCATCAGGTTATATGAAAATACAGAGTCAGAGGAGAAAAGAGAATTTGAAAAAGAAGGAAGAACACTAACAAGATCTAGAAAATAGCCTCCAAAGGGCACATCCAAGAGTTTTTTTACCTTAAAGTAGAGGTAGAGAGAGAGATTGGGGTAGAAGAGAGATTGTTGTGAAAGAAAGTCAAAACACACAGAGAAGATTCAACCCAAATAAGACTACCTCAAGGCATATAATAATCAAACTTACAAAGGTCAAGAATAAAGAAAGGATCTCAAAGCAACAACAGAAAAGAAGCAAATAACATGTAAAGGAGATTTGATACATCTGGCAGCAAAATATTCAGTGGAAACATTACAGGCTAGAAGAAAGGGGGATGACATATTCTAAGAACTGAAGGGAAAATTCTTTCAATATTATAGAGTTATAATATTTAATATTATATATAATCCAGAATATTATATCCAGAAAAATTACCCTTCAAACATGGAGAAATGGGGACAAACACGAAAAACCTATAAAAGGTTTAAAAGATTAATTCCTAGTAGAAAATGTTATGTGAATGTCACCAACAGAATGTAAGTTGTTAAATGAATAAATGCATAAATGAAAATCAGACTACAGAGATTTTAGGAATTGAATGCTAATCATGGAAATTAAAATTTTAGCAAGAAAGTTGGCATCCTAGAATGATGTTACTTACTTTCTCTGGATACCACACTTTGATATCAACATAAAGATTATTTTTTAGTAGGAAAATTTTAACATATCATAAAATTATTTGTCCTGCATTAGAATTATAAAGTGTTGCTGCCTTTAAGTCAGACACTTCCTCTAGTGTCTAAGAAGCACAATGAATTAATATTTCAAAGATTACCCAGGTGTTCGCATTCATAATAATTAACATAATATTTATCTTGATATATAACATTATATGAAATTAGGGTTGCTATAATTGCTGGCTTCAAGGAGGATTTGCAAGAATTACATTAAAACTTCTAATCAATTGTACAAGAAAAGTTTAGGCAACCACTCTAGGTGGAACTCAAGAAATTATATGACTATATATTGCACACTGATATGTTTTATGTCTTAAAAATAATGACCCCTTATATGAAAATATGTGTTGCCACTTTGTGACTTGATCTTTCCCATTCTTCCCAACCCTGACTCATTTTAAGGGTTCTGCATATCACCATCTTGTTTATTGTATAAGTCCTAACTTGATCTAACTATAAAAGAATTGTGATATAGTTATTGCCAGATATAACTAAATACATATTCATTGTGTAGGCCAATTAGCTTCAGTTCACAAGAAATACTATACTTTTGCAAAGTGTTAAATTCTCCTCTATTTCTGTTACTGCACAGTTTTGGAATTTGAGTGTATTCTAAATATAATATTAATAGTGACTGAAGGAAATACCCTTTTTTTTTGAAGAAGTAAATAAGGAAGGCCTTGGAATTATCTACTAGACCATAATAATCAAAAATTAGCTAATGAATAATTGGGAACATTACTTTTAAAAAACTATCTATGTACAAATCAGGGAGTTTTAAGGGCTTTCCAGATAAATACACTTAAGTGCATGTAAATGCACTGTCAGACTTAAGTATAGATTTTTTGATATTTGATATCTCATGTGTCAACACTAAAGTTAAGGAAAAAAGAATCGAGAAAGTTAAGCACAAAGGTAAAAAATATTAGTAGCAAAATGGCCACTTATATATTACAGCATAATAAAGACTCATGCTCAATTTCAAGCACCTTGTATTTTTAAAGATTAAAAAATATAATTATATACCCAAATTTTGCTGCATAATTCTTCATGGGTCCCACATTCCTTGCAAGACCATCACTTTTTTTCTGTAGATGATATCCACAAACATATCATTAAAATATTTTACTTCATTATGGCCTTAGGGAGAACACTACACTGGATTTTCTGAAAGAATTATGCCCATCACTTCTGGGGCTTGCCATGTGCCTGGGAAATTTTTCCCTTTGGACTTTGCCTTTCCCCTCATCAACCCATTTCTACCACACCCCAGATCCCATGCAGAGACACTGGGTCACAGAAACACAAATGCATCACTTCTTACTTTACTGTTAATAACAGAATTTGAACCCAAGCAAGCCTTCAATATTGTATTCTTAAAATAGAAAAGTGTCTCTGATTAAATTCATTTTTAATAAAATAATTTTTTGTTCTTAATTTTCTTTGAAATAAAATGTAAGGGGCAATACAAAAAAAAACAAAGCAATGATTTATAAATAATCTATGATTTTAAGACTGATAAATCTCTAAGGCATTTAACCCATATAATTATAACAATGCAACAGGAAGGGGAAGCCTACAAAGTTACTTTAAGAAGGCTAAGTTGTTGATTGAGATTGCAGCTGCAGTACTTGCTTAGGGTAGAAAACAGAGCAAATATTAAGCAAGGTGAAAGCTTCAAAATTTTTTAAAGTCTATTGTATCAAATTGCACCATGATGTATTCTTTTTCAGTATAGCCTTTATATTCAGTAAATATTTGTACTATTTATCCTAACATAAAAATTACTCATTGTAGTAACAATGATGGTGGTATATTTTATTTCAAAATAAAATAAAATAAAGATAGGCAAATATTTTTGTAAAAGACCAGGTTGTATATTTAAGTCTGTGCAGACCATAAGACCATAAGGTCTCTCTCAAAACTAGCCAACTCTGCCATGATACAGCAAAAGTAGGTATAAGCAATTCATAAACAAATGGATGTAGTAGTGTTCCAATAAAACTTTGTTTAGAAAGATGAGCAATTGACTGAATTTTGACCACAGCCATAGATTGCCAGTCTCTGTGACTGATACTTAAGTGTCATATATTTGCAATTCTGCTAACATTTCATGAATGATTTAAAACTGCATTTTAAAGTGGATCAAAATATTTCATTTGCTGTAAGTTATTAGAATCCTTCAATAAAAAATATTTAATATTAGGATATGCTTATCTTCCTGACACATTACTGTTTTTTATATTCTAGGAACCAGTTATTTGTAATATACATATGCTGCATTAATATTAATTTTCACTACCAGTATAACAATGGAAAGTATTCCTGTGCAAAAAAAAAAAAATACAAAAGATAATGTGATGTAGAGAATGTCTGAGCTAAAATAGGAAGAAATCATTGTAATTTATACTTCTCAAATTACAGATAAAAAATGAGTCTCCTAGTTTGTAAATATGTTGATGCCACTTTGAGTTGTGACAAAACCAAGATTTTTAAGTTCAGGGGTACATGTGCAGGTTTGTTATGTAGATATACTTGTGTCACAGAGGGTTGTTGTACAGATTACTTCATCACTCAGGTATTAAGCCTAGTGCCCATTAGTTAATTTTCCCGATCCTCTCCCTCTTCCCCCTTTCCATCCTCTGATAGACCACAGTGTGCGTGATTTCCCTTATTGTGTCCATG
Organism: Homo sapiens; assembly: GCF_000001405.40. Classification (NCBI taxonomy): domain Eukaryota; kingdom Metazoa; phylum Chordata; class Mammalia; order Primates; family Hominidae; genus Homo; species Homo sapiens. Next base: position 80,992,833 of record NC_000013.11, on the reverse strand, counting down.
CGTTCTCATCATTCAGCTCCCATTTATAAGTGAGAACATGTGGTATTTGGTTTTCTATTCCTGCATTAGTTTGCTAAAGATTATGGCCTTCAGTTCCATTCATGTTCCTGCAAAGGACATGATGTCATTCTTTTAATGGCTGCATAGTATTCCATAGTGCATATGTACCACATTTTTAAAAATCTAATCTATCATTGATGGGCATTGAGGTTGATTCCATGTCTTATCTATTGTGAATAGCGCTGCAATGAACATACATGTGCATGTGTCTATAATAGAATAATTTATATTCCTCTGGGCAAGTACCCAGTACTGGGATTGCTGAGTCAAAGGGTATTTCTGTTTTCAGGTTTTTGATAAATTGCCACACTCTTCCACAATTATTGAACTAATTTACACATCCACCAACAGCATATAACCATTCTTTTTACTCAGAAGCTTTACCAGCATCTGTTAGTTTTTGACTTTTTAATAATAGCCATTCTGTCTGGCATGAGATAATACCTCATTGTAGTTTTGATTTGCATTTTTCTAATGATCAGTGATATTGAGCTTTTTTTCGTATGATTGTTGATCACATGTATGTCTTCTTTTGAAAAGTGTCTGTTCATGTCCTTTGCCCATTTTGTAATGGGGTGGTTTGGTTTTTCTCTTGTAGATTTAAATTCCTTATAGATGTTGGATATTAGACCTTTGTTAGATGCACAGTTTGCAAGAGTTTTCTCTCTTTTTATCAGCTGTGTGTTTCACTTTTGACAGCATCCTTTGCTGTGCAGAAGCTCTTTAGTTTACGTAGGAGTTCAGTCAGGGTGGTGGGAAAAATTGTAGAAAGACACAAACCTTCTTGGAAGGCCGGAAGGTTTTGCAAAAGCCTCAGGATAGGGTTATGGTTGAAAGCAGCCTAATCATCTTACCTTCAACTAATAGTTTAGAGTAGGTACAAAGGGATGTAAGGGAGTTTATCTGAAGAGCTTTTTTACTTATGTGGTCTTAAGACTGACCTTTGGTCATTCATGGGCAGGACTGATCTCCCGGGGGGAGGCCAACCCAATTAATTACCCACAGATGTGCTGACTCAAAGCCTTTGTCATTAAATCAGTGCTGAATAAATGCCTGCAGGGCCAGCTAGTTAGGGTGCACAGCTGCCACAACTCTTTCTGTGAGTGGTCCAGCCCCCTGGCCCGCTTTCACTGAATATTGGTGTCTGAGTATGTTATTCATCTGTCACACAGCCTGGGTCTGTGGGTCAGACCCTGGCAAGTTTAATTAGATCCCATTTGTCAATTTTTGCTTTTGCTGCAAAATTGCTTTTGTCTTTATCATGAAATCTTTGCCTCTTCCTATGTCCTGAATGATGCTACATAGGTTGTCTTCCAGGGTTATATGGTTTGGCTGTGTCCCCACCCAAATCTCATGTTGAATTGTAGCTCCTATAATTCCCATGTGTTGTGGGAGGGATCCAGTGGGAGATAATTGAATCATGAAGGCAAGTCTTTTCCATGGTATTCTTGTGATAGTAAATAAGTCCCACAAGATCTGATGGTTTTATAAAGGGAGTTTCCCTGCGCAAGTTCTCTTCTCCTATCTGCCACCATGTGAGACATGCCTTTCACCTTCTGTCATGATGGTGAGGCCTCTCCAGCCATGTGGAAATGTGAGTACATTAAACCTCTTTCTTTTGTAAATTGCCCAGTCTCGAGTATGTTTTTATCAATTGCATGAAAATGGACTAATACAGGAAATTGGTACCAGGAGTGGGACACTATTGAAAAGATACCCAAAAATGTGTAATTGAATTTGGAACTGGGTAGCAGGCAGAGGTTGGAACAGTCTGGAGGGCTCAAAAGAAGACAGAAAAACATGGAAAAGTTTGGAATACCCTAAAGACTTGTTGAATGGCCTTGATCAAAATACTGATAATAATATGGACAATGAAATCCAGGCTGAGGTGGACTCAGATGGAAATGAGGAACTTGTTGGGAACTGGAGCAAAGGTGAAACTTGTTATGTTTTAGTAAAGAGACTGGAAGCTTTTTGCCCCTGCCCTAGAGATATGTGGAACTTTGAACTTCAGTGAGATGATTTAGGGTATCTGGAAGAAGAAATTTCTAAGCAAATATGCTTTGCTCCTAGTTAACACTTATGAGACAGCTAACTCAGATTTTCATCATTCTTGTTCTTCTAAATTTAGGAAGACAGTGAAATGGATGGAGCAGGGACCCCTCTTAGGGGCCTGTGAGGTCTCCAAGCATAGAAATAAAGGAAAATCTTAAGTTTCTTAAAGAGAAATCCCAGGCACCTAGCTAGCCTTGAGACATAAATCAGCAACTTAATAAGCGGGAAGGTAATAGTAGCTTAAAACAATAGCCAACAGAGTTAGAATCACGAGAATGTTAAGTTCCTTATAGAAACTAAAGAAAGTGACCAGGTGCAGGGGCTCATGCCTGTAATCCTAGAATTTTAGGAGGCCAAGGTGGGCAGATCACTAGAGGTCAGGAATTCGAGACCAGCCTGACCAACATGGTGAAACCCCATCTCTACTAAAAATACAAAAATTAGCAAGGCATGATGGTGCACGCCTGTAATCCCAGTTACTCAGGAGGCTGAGGCAGGAAAATTGCTTGAATCCAGGAGGCGGAAGTTGCAGTAAGCTGAGATCTCACTACTGCACTCCAGCCTGGGCAAGAGAGTGAGACTGTGTCTCAAAATAAAAAAAAAAAAAAAAGAAAGAAAGAAACTAAAGAAAGCATCTTAACATATATGTCCCTGTGTTGTCTTCAGAAACTCAGACCCACATGACGTGGATCTATTGGCACACAGACCTCAGATAGGGGGGAACTGAAGACCAAACTCTGACTACAGTTCTTTGTTCTGAATTTCTTCCTTAGACTCCTGGATGAGGTCATGCCCATGAGCCAGAGCTAACATTCTTTTCTGCTGATCTCAAATTTTTAGGCAAATCTTGGCTTCCTTAACCAATTAAAATTGGAAAATCTTTGAATCCACTTATGATCTGTGGGTCCCCACTTCTAGATGTCCTTCCTTTTTAGGTCAAGCCAATGTAGCCTTCATGTGTTGATTTATTACTTTGCCTGTAGCCTCTGCCTCCCCACTCCCCCACATTTAAAAATCCTTACCTGTAAGCCAACTGGGAGCTCAGGTCTTAAGCATGAGCTGCCCAATTTTCCCAGCTTGACGCCTTGCAATTAAACACCTTCCTTTTCCCACTGCAAACCTTGGTATGGATATCTGCTCTTCCTGTGCTGGGCTTGTGGACCCCAGTTTGGTTCAATAACAATAGTGAACGTGAAGCTATAAAGAAAGGACACGGGACATTGTCAACTTCAATGCGATCACTCAGAGATGCTCTGCCATTGCTCAAGAGCCATCAATGGACAATTCCTTCCTTAGTGACTCATCTCATTTGGGAATGAGGATTTGTGTATCACATTCAACTGCTGTAAGAAAAAATAGCCATTTCGACTTAGAGTTGGTAATATCTATCCATGAATTAGAAAATAGTGAAATCAAATAATAAATAATATGTTAAATCTTTCAATAGATTTCTTTTTCAACATTTCTCATCCCTACGTGTCTTTTTTGTCCTCATTTTCTTTGCTTTATGGAATCTGTTTGTATCAACTTTTTTTCCCTTTTCTCTAAATAGCTTTTTCTTCTGCTAGTCTAACGATTATACTTTATTGTCATAATATCTAATTCTTGTTACAAGTGAAACCTCATTTTATTTTTCCACTCACTCTGCAGCGATCTCACATAGTTGGCTTTGGTATAAAGCTCCTGGCTAGTCACCCAGCCACTCCCCCACACAGCCAGCTATTCACAATTAGTACAAATCCCTCAATTCAATTTTATTCAATGCAGTTCAATTCAAAGCGGCTCAATTCAAGTCAGTTGAACTCATTCTACCACATGTTGGTGCCAATTCTAATTCTATCCTCTTCTCTCTCTTTTTGTTTTCTTTTCTTTCTTTTTTTCTGTGGATGATCAAAGCATACATGAGAAATAGACCTGGTAATTTGATCAATCATTAAGCTATCCTTTCTTTGCAGGGTGGATGTTTACAATTATGTGCCACTCTTGACTATTTCCAGTTTTCCATACACATCTTATTTAATGCATCGATACTCCTTTCTTCAGCGCTTTAAGATTTATTTATTACTTCCAGAAGTCTTCTCTTTTTTTGAAATACTCAGTGAACTTCCCATTTTGACTCCCACTGGTTGTTTTTGTTTTACAAGAGCAGGAACTTCCATAATCATAAGATTTGTCACGGCATTAAAAATTTACTAAAGGGCACCTTTTCCTCACTCACTTTTATAATATATCATGACAGAGGATCTGTGATATGTTTTTAAAAATTTCACAGCTTTAAAGCTCCTGAATTATTTCTACTCTTGTGTTTGTTATAATTTTTTCTAACATGCCTATTCTTCTTCCTCATGTCTTTGTACATACATCTGATCATTTTACCGTTTTTTTTTACTTTTTATAAATCGAGAGATTCTGTCCAATAGCATTAAATTTTTATGTTGTGCTTTAGGTCATCTTTCTCCGTTTTTGAAAAATAAGAAATTACCCCTCCCCTATTTTTCTGTCATCAGTAAACTATTTTCTAATTTATACAGTCATTAAAGTTTATTTAGAGTTTCTCTAAATAAGATTATATTTTCATTTTCAGTTCATTTTGAATCTGGATGTGTCTTGCAAATGTTATCCATATTAGCAAAATATGAATTTCCTGTTTACTGTTACTGCTTTATACTCTATATGATGGACACAGCTAATATATATTTGTATTTTGTATACACCAGTGATGTGTTAGTAAGGAATAAAAAATATTTACAAGGAAGCAAATGAATTCAGGGTAGTGATATTCCAGTGGATCGGTAAGGTACATAGTAAATGTCTTCTTTACACAGTAAATGTCTTCTCCTGTCACTCTTCTCCAGATAAGTTGATGGCATCACCATCAACTGAGTAGCTCTGGCTCAACCTTGGGGTTTACACTTGATTCCTCTCAAGTTCTTATACTCAACTTCTTGTTCATTAGCTGCAAAATATATGTCAAACCTAGCAGTCGCTCATTAATAACTTCCTCCAATCTTTCCCTGGACTGCATGTGAGCCTTCTAGTTGGTCTCTTTGTTTCTACTCTTAGCTAAAATAGTTCATTTGCAGTCAGAATAATGTCTCCAAATTGACATCAAATTATATCATTTTCTTCCAATGGCTTCCATAGTAATTAGGTTAAAAATAAAATTCCTTATCATGTCCTGCAAGGTCCTACAGAATTTGGCCTCATCTATTAGGACTTTATCTCTTTTAATTCTTCTTCTTATTTGCTTGGCTTCATCCACAAAGACATTGTTTGTATTCCTTTAACACCCAATGCTCACTCGCTTTTTTGAGCTTGTGCTGTGACTTAATGATCCTAGGCCTAGAAAACCTCCCTCTGAGGTGTTATTTGGGGTGTCTCTTTCTCTTCATTTAGAACTTTGTTTAAAAGTCATCTCTTTGAAAAGGGAAGCCCAACCACCCTCATCAATGTTGACAACTTTTCTGCAAACTATACTCTATACATTTTTCTAGAGCATTTTATTTATTTATTTATTTATTTGATGTGCCAAGCATTAGGGAGTCCATACAACTCAAGATTTTTCTCAGCAGGATCTTTTAGTTTAGATTTCTACCACAGGTTAGAGGTAGCCAAAGCCCAAGGCTTCAGAACTATAATTTCCTAGACCATAATGTGGAATCTGGGATTAAAAGGATTTACCTCAAATGAGAAGCATATATTAATAAAGTTTCAACAGTTTTCACATTTTTATTTGATGAGACTCAATTCTTGTCCTTTGAACTAGAAGAGATGTTCTCCTGCAAGAATGCCCTCTGAGCCACACCTCTACCAAGAACAAAAATCACAATGTCAGCACACCAATTTAATTATCTGTTCACTTTTTGCTGCCTTTATTCATCAGACCTTCTTGCCTTACTAAAATAACACTTCAGTTTGTTATGTGAATGTTGTAGAGTTTTCCTGAGTCATAGCTATCATGGGAAAAAATGCTTTAAATACAATATTAACCATTAAGGGGAGGGATGAATGTGTAAAGAGTTTTATAAGATTACACAGCAAAATAACAAGAAGGTGTTTAATGAATAAGAACAATGAAATTCTATGCCTCCGAGCCAAAAGGGAAAGTATATGAAGGATGACATTTAATAAGTACTTGAACCCATTATACTTTTTACTTTTAAGAAACTTAAACTCTCTAGAAAGGTTGGGTTACCCACAAAGGGAAGCCCATCAGACTAACAGCTGATCTCTTGGCAGAAACTGTACAAGTCAGAAGAGAGTGGGGGCCAATATTCAACATTCTTAGAGAAAAGAATTTTCAACCCAGAATTTCATATCCAGCCAAACTAAGCTTCATAAGTGATGGAGAAATAAAATACTTCACAGACAAGCAAATGCTGAGAGATTTTCTCACCATGAAGCCTGCCCTACAAGAGCTCCTGAAGGAAGCACTAAACTTGGAAAGGAACAACCCGTACCAGCCACTGCAAAAACATGCCAAATTGTAAAGACCATTGATGCTAGGAAGAAACTAACAAGCAAAATAACCAGCTAACATCATAATGACAGGATCAAATTCACACATAACAATATTAACCTTAAATGTAAATGGGCAAAATCCTCCAATTAAAAGACAGAGACTGGCAAATTGGATAAAGAGTCAAGACCCATCAGTGTGCTGTATTCAGGAAACCCATCTCACGTGCAGAGACACACATAGTCTCAAAATAAAGGAATGGAGGAAGATCTACCAAGCAAATGGAAAACAAAAAAAAGGCAGGGGTTGCAATCCTAGTCTCTGATAAAACAGACGTTAAACCAACAAAGGTCAACAGAGACAAAGAAGGCCATTACATAATGGTAAAGGGATCAATTCAACAAGAAGAGCTAACTATCTTGAATATATATGCACCCAATACAGGAGCACCCAGATTCATAAAGCAAGTTCTTAGAGACCTACAAAGAGACTTAGACTCCCACATAATAATAATGGGAGACTTTAACACCCTACCATCAACATTAGACAGATCAACGAGACAGAAAGTTAACAAGGATATCCAGGAATTGAACTCAGCTCTGCACCAAGTGGACCTAATAGACATCTACAGAACTCTCCCACCCCAAATCAACAGAATCTACGTTCTTCTCAGCACCACACCGCACTTACTCAAAAATTGACCACATAGTTGAAAGTAAAGCACTCCTCAGCAAATGTAAAAGAATAGAAATTACGGCAAACTGTCTCTCAGACCACAGTGCAATCAAACTGGAACTCAGGGTTAAGAAACTCACTCAAAACCACCCAAATACATGGAAACTGAACAATTTGCTCCTGAATGACTACTGGGTACATAATGAAATGAAGGCAGAAATAAAGATGTTCTTTGAAACCAAAGAGAACAAAGACACAACATACCAGAATCTCTGGGACACATTTAAAGCAGTGTGTAGAGGGAAATTTATAGCACTAAATACCCACAAGAGAAAGCGGGAAAGATCTACAATGGACACCCTAACATCACAATTAAAAGAGCTAGAGAAGCAAGAGCAAACACATTCAAAAGCTAGTAGAAGGCAAGAAATAACTAAGATCAGAGCAGAACTGAAGGAGATAGAGACACAAAACACCCTTCAAAAAATCAATGAAACCAGGAGCTAGTTTTTTGAAAAGAGCAACAAAATTGATAGACTGCTAGCAAGATTAATAAAGAAGAAAAGAGAGAAGAATCAAATAGATGCAATAAAAAATGATAAAGGGGATATCACCACCGATCCCACAGAAATACAAACTACCATCAGAGAATACTATAAACACCTCTACGCAAATAAACTAGAATATATAGAAGAAATGGATAAATTCCTCGACACATACACCCTCCCAAGACTAAACCAGGAAGAAGTTGAATCTCTGAATAGACCAATAACAGGCTCTGAAATTGAGGCAATAATTAATAGCTTACCAACCAAAAAAAAGTCCAGGACCAGATGGATTCACAGCCAAATTCTACCAGAGGTACAAGCAGGAGCTGGTACCATTCCTTCTGAAACTATTCCAATCAATAGAAAAAGAGGGAATCCTCCCTAACTCATTTTATGAGGCCAGCATCATTCTGATATCAAAGCCTGGCAGAGACACAACAAAAAAAGAGAATTATAGACCAATATCCCTGATGAACATCGATGCAAAGATCCTCAATAAAATACTGGCAAACTGAATCCAGCAGCACATCAAAAAGCTTATCCACCATGATCAAGTGGGCTTCATCCCTGGGATGCAAGGCTGGTTCAACATATGCAAATCAATAAATGTAATCCAGCATATAAACAGAACCAATGACAAAAACTCACATGATTATCTCAATAGATGCAGAAAAGGCCTTTGACAAAATTCAACAACCCTTCATGCTAAAAACTCTCAATAAATTAGGTATTGATGGGATGTATCTCAAAATAATAAGAGCTATTTATGACAAACCCACAGCCAATATCATCCTGAATGGGCAAAAACTGGAAGCATTCCCTTTGAAAATTGGCACAAGACAGGGATGCCCTCTCTCACCACTCCTATTCAGCATAGTGTTGGAAGTTCTGGCCAGGGCAATCAGGCAGAAGAAAGAAATAGAGGGTATTCAATTAGGAAAAGAGGAAGTCAAATTGTCCCTGTTTGCAGATGACATGATTGTATATCTAGAAAACCCCATTGTCTCAGCCCAAAATCTCCTTAAGCTGATAAGCAACTTCAGCAAAGTCTCAGGATACAAAAATCAATGTGCAAAAATCACAAGCATTCTTATACACCAATAACAGACAAACAGAGAGCCAAATCATGAGTGAACTCCCATTCACAATTGCTTCAAAGAGAATAAAATACCTAGGAATCCAACTTACAAGGGATATGAAGGACCTCTTCAAGGAAAACTACAAACCACTGCTCAATGAAATAAAAGAGGATACAAACAAATGGAAGAACATTCCATGCACATGGGTAGGAAGAATCAATATCGTGAAAATGGCCATACTGCCCAAGGTAATTTATAGATTCAATTCCATCCCCATCAAGCTACTAATGACTTTCTTCACAGAATAGGAAAAAACTACTTTAAAGTTCATATGGAACCAAAAAAGAGCCTGCATCGCCAAGTCAATCCTAGGCCAAAAGAACAAAGCTAGAGGCATCATGCTACCTGACTTCAAACTATACTACAAGGCTACAGTAACCAAAACAGCATGGTACTGGTACCAAAACAGAGATATAGACCAATGGAACAGAACAGAGCCTTCAGAAATAATACCACACATCTACAACTATCTGATCTTTGACAAACCTGACAAAAACAAGAAATGGGGAAAGGATTCCCTCTTTAACAAATGGTGATGGGAAAACTGGCTAGCCATATGTAGAAAGCTGAAACTGGATCCCTTCCTTACACCTTATACAAAAATTAATTCAAGGTGGATTAAAGACTTAAATGTTAGACCTAAAACCATCTAACCATTGCCTAGAAGAAAACCTAGGCAATACCATTCAGGGTATAGGTATCGGCAAGGACTTCATGTCTAAAACACCAAAAGCAATGGCAACAAAAGCCAAAATTGACAAATGGGATCTAATTAAACTAAAGAGCTTCTGCACAGCAAAAGAAACTACCATCAGAGTGAACAGGCAACCTACAGAATGGGAGAACATTTTTGCAATCTACTCATCTGACAAAGGGCTAATATCCAGAATCTACAATGAACTCAAACAAATTTACAAGAAACAAACAAACAACCCAGTTAACAAGTGGGCGAAGGATATGAACAGACACTTCTCAAAAGAAGACATTTATGCAGCCAACAGACACATGAAAAAATGCTCATCATCACTGGCCATCAGAGAAATGCAAATCAAAACCGCAATGAGATACCATCTCACACCAGTTAGAATGGAGATCATTCAAAAGTCTGGAAACAACAGGTGCTGGAGAGGATGTGGAGAAATAGGAACACTTTTACACTGTTGGTGGGACTGTAAACTGGTTCAACCATTCTGGAAGACAGTGTGGCGATTCCTCAGGGATCCAGAACTAGAAATACCATTTGACCCAGCCATCCCATTACTGGGTATATACCCAGAAGATTATAAATCATGCTGCTATAAAGACACATGCACACATATGTTTATTGTGGCACTATTCACAATAGCAAAGACCTGGAACCAACCCAAATGTCCAACAAGGACAGACTGGATTAAGAAAATGTGGCACATATACATCATGGAATACTATGCAGCCATAAAAAATGATGAGTTCATGTCCTTTGTAGGGACATGGATGAAGCTGGAAACCATCATTCTCAGCACACTATAGCAAGGACAAAAAACAAACATCGCATGTTCTCACTCATAGGTGGGAATTGAACAATGAGAACACCTGGACACAGGAAGGGGGACATCACACACCCGGGCCTGTTGTGGGGTAGGGGGATGGGGGAGGGATAGCATTAGGAGATATACCTAATGTAAATGACGAGTTAATGGGTGCAGCACACCAACATGGCACATGTATATATATGTAACAAACCTGCACGTTGTGCAAATGTACCCTAGAACTTAAAGTATAATAATAAAAATAAATAAATAAATAAATAAATAAATAAATAAATAAATAAGCTAGGGAGTCAGCTGGGCATGGTGGCTCATGCCTGTAATCCCAGCACTTTGGGAGGCCAAGGTGGGCGGATCACTTGAGGTCAGGAGTTCAAGTCCAGCCTGACCAACATGGTGAAACCCTGTCTGTACTAAAAATACAAAAATTAGCCAAGGGTGATGGCTTGCACCTGTAATGCCGGCTACTCGGGAGGCTGAGGCAGGAGAATGGCTTGAACCTGGGAGGCGGAGGTTGCAGTGAGCCAAGGTTGCACCACAGCACTCCAGCCTGGGCAACAGAGTAAGACTCAGTTTCAAGAAACAAACAAACAAACAAACAAAAACTAGAGGGTCTCCTCTTAGTTCTTAAACCCTCTTAGCCAACATTTGTGAGCCTCTTTTCTGTATGTTTTGGCATCTTTATTCCTTTCCTTTGTGTCTTGACCAAATTCACCAGATCATGACTCAGAACAAAATCCTGAGGTTGAATATAGGGGTCTAGAACATCTTCAAATTAACTTTTTCTCCTCACAGAGAATTAAAGAAATTGAGAAAGCAAAAAAAAAAAAAAAAAAAAAAAAAGAAACTTAAACTCTCTGAACCTTGGTTTTCTCATGAATAAAGTGGGGATAAAATCTGACAGTTGTGAGGCCTCACAACAATAGAGACAGTGACAGGTTGAGTATGTTCTTAACATTATTTCATGGGCAACAGAATAAGGTAATGTTGACCATAAACCTTTTCATGAATTTTCTTTTCCCTTCCTTCCTCCCTCCCTCCATCCCTCCCTTCCTTCCTCCCTCCCTTCCTTCCTTCATTCCTCCCTCCCTCCATCCCTTCCTTCCTCCCTCCCTTCCTTCCTTCCTTTCTTCCTTCCTCCCTCCCTCCCTCCCTCCCTCCCTTCCTTCCTTTTTTCCTTCCTCCCTCCCTCCCTTCCTCCTCTCTCTCTTTCTTTCTTGTTTTTTCGACAGAGTCTCACTCTGTCACCCAGGATGGAGTGCAGTTCTCCCTCTTTCTTTCGTTCGTTCTTTCGTTCTCTCTCTCTCTCTTTCGTTTTGTTTTTTGTTTGTTTGTTTTTCTGACGAAGTCTCACTCTGTTGCTCGGGCTGGGGTTCATGCCATTCTCCTGCCTCAGCCTCCCAAGTGCTGGGACTACAGGTGCATGCCGCCATGCCCGGCTAATTTTTTGTATTTTTCGTAGAGATGGGGTTTCACCATGTTGGCCAGGATGGTCTCAATCTCCTGACCTTGTGATCCGCCCGCCTCAGCCTCCCAAAGTGCTGGGATTACAGGCCTGAGCCACTGCGCCCGGCCTCTTTCTTTCTTCTTTCTTTCTTCCTGCCTTCCTGCCTTCCTGCCTTCCTTCCTTTCTTTTTTTTTTTTTTTTTGAGACAGAGTCTCACTCTGTTGCCCAGGCTGGAGTACAGTGGCTGATCTCCTCGGCTCATTGCAACCACCACATCCCAGGTTCAAACGATTCTCCTGCCTCAGCCTCCCAAGTAGCTAGGATAACAGATGTGCGCCACCACACCCATTTAATTTTTGTATTTTTAGTAGAGATAGGGTTTCACCATGTTGGCCAGGCTAGTCTCGAACTTCTGACCTCAAGTGATTAACTCGCCTCAGCCTCCCAAAGTGCTGGGATTATAGGCATGAGCCAACACACCCAGCCAATATTTCTAACTAATGTAGAATGATTGATTTGAACTAAAAACTATGATTTGGAAACTTAATGAACATTTTTCCATCAGGTTCCAGTCTTACCATGATCTATTATGGAATCTTTAGTTTTAAAATTCAAAGTTTTACTTCTTGGTGGCTAAAAATTTAAACAAAGGGCAGACATAAACAACTACATAGTACATTTTACTATTTGGTAAAAGGTTATTTACAAGAAAAATGCCATTTTAGATAGAAATAAGTTTTCTATTAAAATGGTGGTGGGTTTTTTGTTTGTTTGTTTTTTTGTTTTGTTTTGTTTTTTGAGATGGAGTCTCGCTCGGTTGCCCAGGCTGGAGTGCAGTGGCGCGATCTCGGCTCACTGCAACCTCCGCCTCCCCGGTTTACACCATTCTCCTGCCTCAGTCTCCCGACTAGCTGGGACTACAGGCGCCTGCCACCATGCCCGGCTAATTTTTTGTATTTTTAGTAGAGACGGGGTTTCACCGTGTTAGCCAGGATGGTCTCGATCTCCTGACCTCGCGATCTGCCCGCCTCGGCCTCCCAAAGTGTTGGGATTACAGGTGTGAGCCACCGTGCCCGGCCAAAATGGTGATGTTTTAACATAGTTCATATGAATTTGTAGAGCTGACAACTTTCTATAAAAACACAATTAGCAACATAGTGTCTGGTGATCACTTTAAAGGCCTTCAATTCGTTGGTCCTCTGCATTATCCCTTCTGACAATATTTTTGAGTCAGTGTAACACATTTCATATGTGTGTATGTGTGTGTAAGTGAATTATATAAAGTATTATATATAAAGTCTGTGGGATAATATGTAGTACCTCTTAAGCACTCATAAATGATATCTATCATTATTATTCTGATTCTAAGTCCTGCGATCATTCCATTACGGTTATTTCATTATTCTACTATTGATATCACAGGTATAAAAGTTTACCTAGATATCGCTATTTGCATAAACGCTCTAAATGAAAATTTTTTAAAGTGGAGCCTTTTTTTATTTGTACAACAAAATTTTTCTCGCACTTTGTTCTTTCAAACAAATTTAATTGCTTTAACATTAAGTCAAATGTTAAAGCAATTTTAGTTAGAAACACTTTTCTTATTTTCTTGTGATTAGGACTTGATAGGGAATACAACCATTTTATGACTTACAAAGCACATCACCGGAGCACGTGTTTTGAGTGCCCTCTAGTGGTCTTTCAGTCAGTAACAGCCAGCGAAGCTGCAATTTGCAGCCTACGTCACCACTATAGATTTTCCACAGAAGCTCCTGTTTTTCCAATAAAGGAAATAATCTTCAAAGGGGACAAATAAATTGCCTTCTTCTACAATTCTTGGAAAAACTCAAATAAAGGAGAAATTTATCAAAGCATTTTTTCAATTATAGAAAGTTTTATTGCAATAGTATTTTTTTAACTGAATACTATTATGTAGAAATCATAAACATTGGTATAGTAAACACGCTTTGTAGAAACTACAAAAGTTGTTATAGACCGGGCGCGGTGGCTCACGCCTGTAATCCCAGCACTTTGGGAGGCCGAGGCTGGCGGATCACGACGTCAGGAAATCGAGACCATCCTGGCCAACATGGTGAAACCCCGTCTCTACTAAAAATACAAAAATTAGCTGGGCAGTTGGGTGTGGTGGCGCGTGCCTGTAATCCCAGCTAGTCGGGAGGCTGAGGCAGGACAATCGCTTGAATCAGGGAGTCAGAGGTTGCAGTGAGCAGAGATGGTGCCACTGCACTCCAGCCTCGGCGACAGAGCTGGACTCCGTCTCAAAAAAAAAAAAAAAAAAAAAAAAGTTGTTATAAAGGTATTATTTTGTGGTCAAGCGTGGCGGCTTATACCTGTAATTCCAGAACTTTGGGAGGTATAGACGGGAGAATCACTTGAGCCCACCCAGGAGTTTGAGTCCAGCCTAGGAAAAAAGAGAGACCCCCATCTCAAAAAAAAAAAAAAGAAATTTAATTTGCCAAGCATGGTGGTGCATGCCTGCAGTGCCAGCTACTTGGGAAGCTGAGGTGGGAGGATCATCACCTGAGCCTGAGATGTTGAGGCTGCAGTGAGCCGTGCTTGCACCACTCTACTCCAGCCTGGGTGACAGAGCTAGACCCTGTCTCAAAAACTAATAAATAAATTAATTAATTAATTAAATACAAAGTTGTTATAAAGTTATTTTGTTAATAGAAAGAAGTTCTAGTTTCTTTGCCATTCATCCACCATTGCTTTTGTTTTTCCCTTCCTGCCTTTCTTTTAAAACTTCCTTATTAACCTTGTTTTACTATTTTCTTATATATATCGAGTTATCTATTTAAGTGTATTTAAGCATTTACAAGTGCCTGACACTTATTAATATCTTGATAAATATTTAATAAATAAAATCCTAACTGAATGATAAATTGTCTAGTTAAATGAGAGAATGTTTAAACTCAGTCATGACTGTAAATAAATACCACCCACAGAACATTTTTATTAGCTATGGAATCTTCTATTTCATCCTGAATTATGTATTGTATTATATTTTCAAAGTAAATACATGAATTTTTGTTTGATAACTGAAGGGAATTAATAGGTGACCATGTCTTCATACATGTTGTTCTCTGACCACATTTTGTAGATGAGATTTAGTTCGTTTTTCTCATTTTAGAATTATATTTCAAATTGTGATTTAAATTCCTTTTTGAATCATATTATAATCAGGAAATGGTTTTCTGTGTTCAGCATGCTATTTTAGACTCTATTGATATAATAAAATAAAATCATAGGGCTAGAGCTCTAGGAGGGCAAAATGGTTTTCAGGGAAGTGTTGGGGTGCCCTCCACAGGCTCACTGCCCAGTACCACCTTGAGACTTTACTCTGGCGTTCCAGTGCAGTGCTCCTCAGCACTGCTCCAGCTGTGGCTCACGCAGGGTCAGGTGTGGTTTGGTTTGCCACTCCAGAGGGCACAAGTTGTAAACCTTTGCAGTGTCCACATGGTGCTAATTCCGCAGGCTCACAGAGCTTGCAAGCTGTGGAAAAATGGCTGACTCCACCTAGATTTTAAAAGGTGTGTCAGACAGCCTGAGGGTCCAGGAAGAAACCTGCCACAGAGATGGAGTCATCACAGAGTTCTCACTAGGGCAATGCCTAGTGCAGTCACAATGGTGGGGTTACCTCTAAGACCCCAGAACTGTAGAGCTATCAGCATGCAACTCCAGCATGGGAGAGCTTCTGCATGAGTACACCCTGCAAAACTTCGGGGGTAGGGCAGCATGAGCCCTTGGGGTTTCAATTTCTACCCCAATGTGTCTTGGTGGTGGGACATGGAGTCAAGGAAGGTTGTTCTGGAACCTTAAGATTTAATGCTGTTTGTCCTGTTAATATTTGCACTTACTTGAGACCAGTTATCTTTTTTTTTGTTACTTATTTATTTATTTATTTATTTATTTATTGGAATGGTAATGTCTATCTTATGCCTGCTCCACCATTGCAATTTGGAAATATAAAACTTATTTGATTTTACAGGCTCACAGCTGGAGGTAATTTTGCCTCAGGATAAATAGTGCTGTAACCACCCAAAAACAGTTTCTTCTCACCTGCTTCCCAGATACAGCCGATTTATTAAGACAGGGAAATTGCAATAGAGAAAGAGTTTAATGCATGCAGAGCCAGCTAAATGGGAGATTGGAGTTTTATTATTAGTCAAATCAGCCTTTCTGAAAATTTGAAGGCTAGGAGTTTTAAAAGATAGTTTGGTGGGCAGGGGGCTAGGAAAGGGGAGGGCTGATTTGTTGGGTCAGGGACTAAATCACAGGGAGTCAAGCTGTCCTCTTGTGCTGAATCTGTTACTGGGTAGGGCCACAAGATCAGAAGAGCCAGTTTACTGATCTAGGTGAAGCCAGCTGATCCATCAGGACCCAGGGTCTGAAAAATACCTCAAACACCAATGTTAGGTTTTATAGTATTAGTGTTAGCTATAGGAACAATTGGGGGGGTTAATGATCTTGTGGCCTCAGACTGCATAATTTCTAATATTGTGGCTAATTTGTTAGTTTTACAAACACAATCTGGTCTCGAGACCAGGAGAGGGTTTGTTTTGGGAGGGAGCTGTTATCATCATTGTTTCAAAGTGTAAGTATAAACTAAATTCCTCCCAAAGTTAGTTTGGCCTGTGCTCAGGAATGAACAAGGGCAGCTTGGAGGTTAAAGGTAAGATGGAGTCAGTTAGGACAGATCTCTTTCACTGTCATAATTTTCTCGTTGTTACAACCTCTGCAGAGGTGGTTTCAGTGCCTTGGGTCTCACCCATATCTGATTTACATGAAACTCTGGACTTTAGACTTACAAGCCGATGCTGCAATGAGCTAAGATATTTCGAGCTAATGGCATGGAATGAATGTATTTTGTATGTGAGAAGAACATAAGTTTTGAGGGCCAGGAGCAGACGGCTATGGTTTTGTGTTTGTCTCTTCCAAAACTCATGTTAAAATGTAATTGCCATTGTGATGATAGTGGGAGATGGGACCTTTAAGAGGTGTCTAGGTCGTGAAGGCTCTTACTTCATGTACGGACCAATGCCATTATTGTGAGAGTGGGTTTTGCCCTGTCTTGCTCTGTTTCATGCCCTTTCTTTGCACTTCTGTCATGCGATGCCTTCCACCACATTATGACACAGCAAGAAGGCCCTCACAAGGTGCCAGCACCTTGATATTTGACTTCCAGCCTACAGAACTGTGAGTCAATAAATTTCTGTTCATTATAAAGTAGTCAATCTCAGGTATTCTGTTACAGCAGTACGAAATTGATTAAGACAGCTAATTTATTCAATTAGGCAGAATTCATTCTGCTTATATGCAAGAGTAGCCAGGGGTTCTCTCTTTATACACATACCTTAAAGGATGGGTTATCCTGAAAAGCAGATATGAAGAATTGTGAAAAAGAGCTATCTCAACAGTTAGCTGTGGAGTGTATAATTTAATACAAATAAATACAATTGTAAACGTTCATGTATAGTTCAGTTAGGTTTTTGTTTTGTTTTGTTTTGTTTTGTTTTTTTGAGATGGAGTCTAGCTCTGTCACCCAGGCTGTAGTGCAGTGACCGCGATCTTGGCTCACTGCAACCTCTGCCTCCTAGGTTCAAGCAATTCTCTGCCTCAGCCTCCCGAGTAGCTGGTATTACAAGTGCCCACCACCACACCTGGCTCATTTTTGTATTTTTAGTAGAGACGGGGTTTCACCATCTTGGCCAGGCTGGTCTTGAACTTCTGACCTCATGATCCACCCGCCTTGGCCTCCCAAAGTGCAGGGTTACAGGCATGAGCCACTGTGCCTGGCCCATAGTTCAGTTTTTAAAATGCATTCAGACTTCAATTCCAAACCGAATGACTCATTTAAATGTTGTTCACATTTTGTTGAATAATATTTTTAAAGCAGTAACAACCGTATATCCAGTTGGCCTACATTTACTTCTGAATTCAAGAAGAATAGCTCATACCATAAATGACAAAGAGCAGCACTTACAATTGGCAACATACTGAAGTCACTCACTCTCAACTAAAAGATATGATCATTTCTAGTATAGCTTTTTACTTTTCTTTATTTTCTTTCTTCCTTTTTTCTTTCTTTCGTTCCTTTTTTTTCTAGAAACATTTTTAGCATACGTCTAGCCAATCAACTAAATTTGCTACTCATGTTACTTTGCTAACATTCTTCAAAACAGTAAATCCTACTTAGGTCTGATAATTTAATTTCTGGGGTATGCATGGTCCGCATCTTACAATAAAAGTATAATTTTTATTTTTAATAATGCAGAAAAGCTGATAGGAGGCTATTGCTAATCTAGAGAGTTCCATCAGCTACAGGAAAATCATGGCCAACTTGCTTACTCACCTATGTAGTCACTTAGAATTGTGGGTAAAATTTAATTTGTACAATTGTTTATTTGTTGAGCTGTATCTTTAATGCTGCATAGCTCCACCCAAGAATCCAGGTCGTTTTTGTTTATTATTTTATTATATAACTCCTAGAAAAGGGGAATCATGATTATAAAACAAAACGAAAAACAATCTGCCTTTATGGAATAAAATGATTATTCTGAAAATATTCTATAAAAACATAATATATATTTAGTTATTTTTCAAATAAATGATGTAGAGCAGGGTTTTCAGCACTCTCTACTAATCACATCTACTGTGGAGGCTGAGGCAGGAGAATTGCTTGAACCCGGGTGGCAGAGGTTGCAGTGAGCCGAGATCACGTCATTGCACTCCAGCCTGGGTGACAACAGTGAAACTCCGTCTCAAAAAAAAAAAAAAAAAAAAATCTTAGCGCTTTCATAAAATGATAGATTATATAACAATAGCCAACTCCAACAGTGCCAGTTTTTATATTACCTAATTGAATCTTCACAATAATCCTATGAAGTTGGAAATAAGGAATATAGGGAAACAAAGGATTAGCAAGCCTAAGTCATTTCCCTGAGGTTACACAGCTGATAAGTTATATAACCGGTGAGTCACATAACTCATTCTTGAGCACAATTAAGCCATGAACAAATATATAATTGTCTGAATGAAGATCTATGCTAATCAAAATCCTAAGGACTGTGATAGGAATTTAGAGTGGTGGTCTATAATGAAATCTTCCTGGAACCTCTTTACTTAAGTCTCCTTGAATGGAGCTTGAAATAATGAAATCTACACCTTTAAAAAATGAAGCTTAGGCCATACAAGTTGGCTTACACCTGTAATCCCAGCATTTTGGGAGGCCGAGGTGGGCAGATCACCTGAGGTCAGGAGTTTAAGAGCAGTCTGGCCAACATGGTGAAACCCCATCTCTGCTAAAAAGACAAAAATTAGCCTGGCATGATGGTGGGCGCCTATAATCCCATCTACTCTGGAGGCTGAGGGAGGAGAATTGCTTGAACCTGGGTGGCAGAGGTTTCAGTGAGCCAAGATTGCATCATTGCACTCCAGCCTGGGTGACAAGAGTGAAACTCTGTCTCAAAAAAAAAAAAAAAACTTAAAGATTTAATAAAATGATAGATTATATAACAATAGCCAACTCCAACAGTGCCAGTTTTTATATTACCTAATTGAATCTTCACAATAATCCTATGAAGTAGGAAATAAGGAATATAGGGAAACAAAGGATTAGTAAGCCTAAGTCATTTCCCTGAGTTTACACAGCTGATAAGTTATATAACCTGTAAGTCACATAACTCATTCTTGAGCACAATTAAGCCATGAACAAATATATAATTGAATGAAGATCTATGCTAATCAAAACAAAAAAACTGCCAAATCTCCTCTTTTTTTAACAGGGTACATGTATACATTGATTTTTAAAAATAGATTTAAAATACCCACTACTTTAAAAGAGTATATTTCATGTCCAGAGTGATGGTTTCAAAATGCAGAACCCTAGCCGTCATGTTGTCTCTCTAACTGACAGTTGCCAGGAGTAATAATATAAATTCAACACAGTGAAAGACAAAAATGCGTCATGCCATTAAGGAGATGATTTTACTCAGGTCATTGCAACAGAGAGATTCTTCATTAATGGGGAACATCTCAAGGAAGAGATTGAAAACCTGGGATATTATAAAACAAAGGAATCACAAGCAAGATGGATAGAAATCGTATCTGAGTCACTTAAGAATATTGAAGTATATGTGGGAATACAGTAGTTCTTTGGGATAAGACATTTTGGAACACAAAAGGTGGAAGGGTGGGGGAATTTATCATCTTTGCTGTTTTCCAACGGCAAGGGCTCAGGCAAACTCCAACATGGTCAACACATTAACATAATCTTTCTGAACATTAATTTGTTCTAGATTTGCTTCTATATTTCCTCATATTTTAGCAACTGACCTGAAAAGCAATTGTTCACTGCATATTTTAAAATACTAAAATTTTGCTAAATTAATTTACCAATAGCACAATTTTTTACAAATAGGCTTTTTTTCTATATCACCCCCAAATTATTTAAATGTGTACTATAAGTTGAGCATACCTAATCCAAAAATCTGAAATCCAAAATGCTCTCAAATTTGAAACTTTTGAGCACCAACATGATGCCACAAGTGGAAAATTTTACGCCTGTCATTATGTGATGAGTTGCAGTCAAAATGCAGGTGCATACCACAAAGTTTACTTAGTATCCTGAAGGGGTAAAAATAATCTTTCCAGCCTTCTTCATCTGTGATATATCTTTTCCACACACACCCGGATTCCCCCATGAAGGAGACACACAAAGGGTAATAAAATGCCATGTGTGCAGGGTGAATATGTCAATGGCAGCCTCCACACGATGCCCCACATGGGGCCAAGATCCATGTGCATTACTCACTGCTCTTGCTTATTTTCTGCTGTATGGTGTTGAAAATGACTTTGTTGAAAATGTCCAAAGGGCCTGGATGATGCCCCTGTGGGTAACAGTGATAAGGAAAAGGATGAGTTTATGCTCACAGAAAGTAAAGCTGTTGGAGAAACTGGACAGCAGTGTGCACGTAAAACAACTTACAGAAAATTATGATGTCAGCATAACCACTACATGTGACCTAAGGAAACAGAAGGATAAACTGTCAAAGTTCTAGGATGAAATTGATGAACAGAAGTTAATGAAAAATAGGCCAGGCACAGGGGTTCACGCCTGTAATCCCAGCACTTTGGGAGGCTGAGGCAAGTGGATCACTTGAGATCAGGAGTTCAAAACCAGCCTGGCCAACATGGTGAAACACCATCTCTACAAAAAATACAAAATTAGCTGTGGTGGTGCACGCCTCTAATCCCAGCTACTAGGGAGGCTGAGATACGAAAATCCCTTGAACCCAGGAGGTGGAGGTCGCAGTGAGCTGAGATTGTGCTATTGCACTCCAGCCTGGGCAACAGAGCAAGGCTCTGTCTAAAAAAAAAAGTTAAGGAAAAATAGAAAAAAACTACTACATAAAGCTAAAAAATGAGATCAAGTATTAGAGGAGTACATCCATCAGTGTGGCAGTAAACACATACAACTTAATGGTATGCTGATCATGAAACAAGCAAAGGTCTATCACAATGAACTGAAAATTGAAGGAAACTATAAATACTCAACAGGCTAGTTGCAAACATTTAAGAAAAAAACACGGCATTACATTTTTAGATATTTGTGATAATAAAGCATCTGCTGATCATGAAGCGGCAGAAAAACTCATTGATTTGCCAAAGTAACTGCTGATAAAAATATGACACAAGACCAAGTAAATAACGCTGATGAAACATCACTGTTTTTGTGTTCTTGCCCCAGAAAGACATTTACTACAGCTGATGAGACACCCGCTACAGGAATTAAGACTGCTAAGGATAGAATAACTGTACTGGGATGTGCTAATGCAGCAGGCAAGCATAAGTGTAAATTAGCTGTGATCGGGGAAATCTTGCATCCTTGCTTTTTTCAAGTAGTAAGTTTCCTACCACTTCATTATTATGAGAGATTTTGTTATTCCTTGACAAATTTGTCTGCTCATCCTCTAGCTGAAATACTCATTACAAGTTATACTTCCAAATGTGAATTCATTCATCCAACCATGTAACCAAGATATCTATAATCAATAACAAGTAAATATAAAAACCCCTTCTTGAGCAGCATGCTAGCAGTAATGAACAAAGGCAAGGGTGCAGAAGGCTTTCAAAGAAGTCAGCATTGTATTCATCAGAGTTCATATACATATATATATGAAAGAGTACTTATGAGAAGAGTTGGCTTATGTGATTACGGAAGCTGAGAAGTCACATGACAAGCTTTCTGCAAGCTGGAGACCCCAGGATGTTAATTGCATGCATCAGTCCAAATGCTTCAGAACAAGAAGAGCCAATGGTGTAATTCTCAGTCCAAACCATTGATGTAAGTCTTGGAGTCTAAAGGTTGCAGAGCTGGAGTTGTTGTCCATGGACAGGAGAGGGAGTGTGTATCCCAGCTCTAGAAGATAGACCAACATATTTGCCTTTTCTCTGTTTTTCTTTTCCCCAGGCCTCCAGCAGATGGGATGGTGTCTTCCTATGTTGAGGTCACATATTCCCCACCCAGTCCACTCAGGCTTACATGCTAATTTCCTCTGAAAACACCTTCATAAAGACACTCAAAAATAATGCTTTACCAGGTTTCTAGGTATTCCTTAAGCCAATTAATTGGATACCTAAAACTAGGTGTCACAAGCATGAAGGATGCCATGTATGCTATTGCCAATGCTTGGAACACGATGACTAAAGACACAGTTGAGCATGCCTGGCACAACCACTGGCCTGTGACTACTTTCAATGATAATAAAGAACAAGATGTTGACTTTGAAGGATTCCATGTGTCAAGTGAGAGTAAGATGATATCTGACTTCCTTACATATGCAAAAACTACTCCTTCAGAGTGTTAGTAAGCTCGAAGAAGTGAACATTGAAGATGTTTTTAACATTAATAATGAAGTTCTTGTTAATTCATTGACTAGTGAAATAACTGAAATGGTTCTGAATCAAGGAGATAGTGATAATAGTGATGATGAAGATGACCCCTTCAACACTGCAGAAATAGTGCCTAGAGATGATATAATGAAAATATATAATGGGCTTATTGAAGGACTAGAGCAGCTTGCGTTCATAACTGAACAAGAAATCATTTCGGTTTTCAAAATGAAAGAAACACTTTAAGACAAAAATGTTTCTTAACGAGGCAAATGACTCTAGAAATAACATTGAAAGACCCATCTAGCAGAATGCCTCCTAATCCCTAGAGGACCCATTTCCTGCTTCTGACGTGTCTTCTCATCTTGAAAATAAAAACACAGTGAACGGTAAACTTTTAATCAAAACACAGCGTCATAGGTGGAGACTGCTGTTGCTTGTTATTGCTGTTGTTTAAAGAATGATTCAGGTATTCTGGTGATGCTATTGTGCTGCTTAATTATTCTAAATATATTATTTTTTTGCTATATTAATATATCTTTTTTACTGTTAAGTAATTATGTGTGAATAAGGGTTAGAAAATTATTGCTTATCAATAGCATATAAATTGAGAGTAAGAAATAATGATGATGTCAAACAACCACAGACTGTCCACATGGGTGGCTGAGATAGTGACACCTTTGCTTTCTGATGGTTCGATGTACACAAACTTTGTTTCATGCATGTAATTATTTAAAATATGGTATAAAATACCTTCAGGCTAGTATAAGTATACGTGTAAGTACACATATATATGTATAAGTACACATATATGTATAAGTATACATAAGTGTATATGCATAAGTATACATATGTGTATATGCATAAGTATACATATGTGTATACATATATGTATATGTATAGGTATATATGTATAAGTATACATGTATATGTATAAGTATATATACCTATACATATACTTATATATGTATATTTATACATATACATATATGTATGCTTGTATATGTACGTGTATACATATATATGTTTATGTATAAGTGCATATGTATAAGAATACATATATGTATATGTATAAGATATATATGAAACATATATATGAACATACATATGAAACTAACATATGAAACATAAATAAATTTTGTGTTTAGATTTGGGCCCTATTTCCAAGATATCTTATTATGTATATGCAAATATTCCAAAAATCCAAAACATCCTAAGTTCAGAAATGGTCTCAAGCATTTTGAATAAAGAATACTCTATTAGTATTTTATAATTTAAATAGAATTGCATTAAAATAAATCTACTGAAGAAATAAAAAGAAATGTAAGAATAAAAAGGGAAATTTTAATATCAGGACCCTTCTTTGTGTATAAAAAAGCAGTGCACAGCAATACTGAAAAAAGTCTGCAAATCCAAAAGTCAGAAAATAATAATAAAAATAAAACAATTTTGTTTAATACTTTCCAAGGAAATGACTGTAAGAAATTTATTTGTAATCTATGTAATTTGGAATTTTTTTAAATTTGTGGCTTGGTTTGGATTCAGTTCCAGCCATATTAGTGGCCAGAAAAGCCACATTATACCTTAGGGATTAAAAGAACACTTTCATGGATAGACAAGAGTATGTTTTAACTTAGGATAAGAACTTCATGAGATGGTTTGGGGCATGCAAATATGCAGAATGCTATTTACTAATGGGCATTTTTATTAACTTAGAGATATAAAGTTACAGTTTTCTTCTAGTTAGTTGGTTAATAAATACTTCCTGGCCGACAGAAATTAGTCTTAGGCAAGTATACAATAACTTAAGGCCATGCAGAAATTCCAATGGGCTTTTAAATGTGTCTATCTATCCCTATAATGATGACTATAACCAGCTACATAAAGATCTAGGGGTCCATGACTGAGTATAGAGCATGAAACAAAAGGCAATCTAAAGCAAAGTTTAATGTGGTAATGTTTATCTCTAGATTCTTTATGTTTTCTTTGCCAGGATTTGAGACAAATCTCCCCCAAAATTTCTACTCTTGACTCTCTCTGTGTAAATGATTATACACTTACTCATGTCTGTAGGTTATTTTTTTCTTTGCCATTCACCAGAAGTAACCCCTCTCACCTATTGATCTTTGGGTTATCATTACTGGTTTCATTTCTTGTTCAAACAGGTAATTGTTATGGCAGCCGAATTTATGTCTACACACGGAGACTTTCTCTATGTTAAAGCTGTTGGCACATGTACCAGTTCAAAGTCAAATCGTCTGAGGTTTGACATCCTCTACCGTATAGCAATGCCTATCTTCTGCAGTGGTTTCACTGTCTCAGATTAAAAGCAATTCCTTCTTGTTTACAAGTTGAAATAGACCTAGTCTATGAAAGGTCTCTATTTTTCCTCTATTATTTTCCACAATGTAATGAGAATACCCTGAAAATTGATTATATACAAATAACAAATGTTAAACCAATGATTTCTATTTTATACATGATTATTTGGAAATCTTAGCTTGACCTAATGTCTAAGGCAAACAAACATGCACAAAAACATGAATACATATATATTAACCTGTGATAATTTTAAGTCCCTAACTCTCAGGAACTAGAACACACACACATGCATGCATACACACACACACACACACACACACACACACACACAGATATGTAGTCATATATCACTTAACAATGAGGATAAATTTTAAGAAATATGTCTTTAGGCCATTCCATCATTGTTTGACCGTTGTAGAGTACACACAGGCCTAGATGGTATAACTTACTACACCCCGAGGCTATATGGTATAGCCTATTACTCCTAAGCTAAACTTGTACAGCATATTACTGTAGTGAATAACAAAGACAATTGTAACACAATGGTACATATTTATGTATGTAAACATATCTAAACATAGAAAAGATAATGTGCTGTGCTACAGAATATGGCATCTATGACATCACTAGGCAATAAAAATTATTCAATTACATTATAGTCTTATGGAAACACTCTTGTGTCTGGTGTTTATTGTTAACTGAAACGTCATTACAGTGCATGACTGTATAGTACGGTTACACAATGGGTAAGATTTCAGGGATTCATAAACATAATATTTTAAAATACAGGTTTTTTAAATAGGCCACTCAATTCCATAGAGTGTTAAATTTTAAAAGTCTAGGAAATTTATCTCACTCTGACTTACTTGAAAGTATTTGATAATTCAACTGCTGATGTTTCTATAGACAGCTGTGTTTATTGTATCAAGTGAATACAGTAAGTTGAAAACTTTCTGTTTCTAAATCAAAAAACAACCTATTTTATATAAATCTCCTCTGTGGAAACAGAGAACAGGGATTCTTTTAAGTGTTGTGTTACTCATCAATATGCAAAATGCAATGTATTTTTGTAGTAAGATATTAAAAGTTTTTTTAAAAAATACTGAATAAGTTGAGAATCTGAAAGCAATATCTCTTGAAAATCAGAATCAAACTTCATTTTAATATTGCCAATTTATTTCAAAATTTCATCCAAGTAAGACACAATAGCATACTCTGTAGCTCATTTTTCTTCTTTTCTAGCTACTAACATTTCCATCCAACTTCTGCTCCTGAAAATAATAGATGATAAAGTTTCTTTCTTATCTAATTATAATTGAAAAATCCATTCATGGTCCAGGTGTGGGAAAGCTTGGCCCTGGGTACAGATCTTGGAGTAGAGAGGAATTTGCCCTTTAAGTGTCTTTCCTGTCCACTGTCCCTTAGGGATGCTGCTCACAACCAGATGGAAGAGAAGTTTGCTTCTTCACAGGGCCCAGGGAATTCTTGCTCTTCCCCCCCATACATAATCCTAGGCATCCCACTTTCATCAATAATACCAGATGCTGCCACTAATGACCTTGGAAATAATTCCATTGGTAGTTTAAAAAACAACTTTTAAAATGAAAGAATCACAGAAACATGAAAGAATAAGAGAGGAAGAGATAGAAAGGGAGAGAATGAAAAAAAGAAAGTAAGAAATAGAGAAAAAGAGGAAGAAAGAAAGAGGAAAAGGTACGAAAATGAGAGAGGAAGAAGGACGAAAAAAGGAAGGAAATTTGACAAAAGGCCATCCTATTTCTTATCATTCTCTCATGAGAATTATATCTGCCTACATTTTCTCATTTTTTTAATAATTTAACTTGCAAAATTTTACTTAGAGAAGCAAATATAGAGAATTGTCATTTTAGTAAAGTACCTGGTTCTCTCAGTGTTTGTACAATAATTGAATTCTCTCTCTCCCCACATCCCTCTCTGTCTCTGTGCACTCTACCTTTAACTTTATTGCAAATAGCAAAGTATTGATTCTTTTAAAAAGCCAAGCATCCTGTGTGAGGATGCCAGTTGTAACAATGCATTATCTCTGAAACCTCTTTGCTAATAGTGAATCTCATTGGCAGTTGTTCCGAAACTGCTGACAAGACATAGTACTATCTCTTCAATTTCATCTTCCACTTCTTTCCTCCCTTTGGGAGAAGAACATCTGTATGCCTTAGAGGGAGTTAAATATGTTAGGACAGATCTCTTGCCTTTCAGCCTACTAAGAATTATTTAACTTTTTTCTCCCTAGCTCATTCTGTAGGATTGGAGTTTTACTAGGAATCCTATATCAAAAGCCATATCTATTCACAGAATTAATTCTTAGTCAAGACATATTTAGGGAGACTCCACTTTATGTCAAGAAATGTGCTTAGTCATCAGATTTAAGAACTCAAGTCAAAGTCTTCTCATTTGGGGGAAAGTAATCTAACATTAGACTCAAAGTGTGGTATTCATTTTTCAAGAGACTTTTAAAATAGAAAATACAAAAATCACACTTATGCATGCTTTCTAAAACAATCCTGACTATCTGTTTGGTATGTATTCTTAAAACAAAATCCTGAAGTAAAATATGTAAGTATATTCTGACTGTATGTTACCATTTGGAAACAAGGACTTTGAACATTGAAATATTTTAAGCTTTGAAGAATGGAGTGCAGAATTTATATTTTGTGTTCGAACAAACAACCACGAGGTCTCAAACTATAGAATTAGGCATAAGTGAGAAAGGTAGCAGAATAGTGAGCATGAATGGGAAAGCTAGATAAGATTTTTTAAAGAACATACAGCTGGACACTAGACCTTTCTTTATGTCTCTGATTTCCAAAAGACAAGCAACACTCTTTGGTAAGGATAAGTAATTTTCAGAATATTTCTGTGTTATTTCACCTTTCTGGTCCTCTGGAAAATAAGGATTATGAATACTACAAGAATTAAATCTAACAGTACTTTAATCATTGAATCAACAATGTCTGACTTTATAGAATAATAACCTAGGTAGGGGAAAATATATGGACTTTGGAGCCTGACTGACCAACTACTTAAGACTGTGTAGACAGGAAAATTTACCAATGGCTCTGAGTCTCAATTTCTTCACCGGTAAAGCACCTAGAATTGAATATGATAGAGTAAATTGGGGCTAAATCAGTATTTTAGCAGATAAAAGTTTTGAATAGCAGAGAAAGTCACTTTGTATCAGATCAAAGACTTTATTTTTAACTACTTAAAATTATAAATATAAATTCATATTTTGAAATCCCCTTTTTCACTTTTCTCTCATTTTTCAATACCATGGACTCGTTCTTATAACTTAGAATTTTTCTTTCATTCTTTGTTTTCTTGTTTGCCAGCTTTAAATAATCCTGTAATTTCAGTTATCCTCATTAATGTAGGAAAACATTGTTCATTAAACTGTTGCTTAATTGAAATGAGGGTTTATGTCTCTTTTTACTTTTTTAGTTTAGTTATCCAACATTATTGTTTATATTAAACATTTCATAAATGCTAAATGAAGGAATAAATTATTATATAATAATTCATTTTAGTAGCTGGAAAATACACAATATCATTTCTGCATATATACAGAAAGCCATACCAAACTGCTATGCATGAGAACAAGGGACAATCCTCAAATGGTGGAATTTCAGGTATAATTGAAATAAATGTTCTGGAAGGAAGATATACAAGGGACATCTCCTATTACGTCAGACAAATCAAAGAAATAGTTTTAATATTGTCTTTGGATACAACTATAATTTTCCACTTATCAGTATCTAAGATTTAATTAGTTATGCATATAATGTTGGAATATGTTATTTCAGTTTGCTTTGCTATATGCATTTGTTCATTTACCCATTGTCTATGTATCTTTCTTTTAGTAATTCCTATGAATGGAGCATTCACTATACAGAAATACTCTTCCAGTTCTGGGGAAACAAGGGTGAATAATAACATCTTTATACTCTAAAGTGTCATTGAGATATTTAATGATACAAACATACAGTATCTTAAAATTAGCTGAGGAAATTAAGCATGATAGTAACATCTTGATAAGTAACTTGAAGATGATATAATGAATCTTCTGCGAGTCCATAAATCAAATATAGTTTTTTTGTTTACTACTATTTATTTATATAATTTCTAGACCTCAGTGCTGCTTTTAGCTTTGAATTTTTATAGAAATTGTAACCACCTGTAGTAATATGTCTTAATTATTTTGACCTAGTTATTTTACTTCTAGATGACTGCAATAACAAAACAAATAGATGATCATCATGAGGGGTTTATAAGCACAAATCGTATGTGCACTGTAGGCTAAAGTCCTATTCAACTTCATCCTCACTCTAGAACAAGGTGGGTGAAGCTGAAGACTCTGGCTGAAAAAATTTCTTGTTTCATAACAGAGGAAAGGATAGACTGACTTTAGAGATTCTAATTCTTAGTGAATCTGCCTAGAAGTAACACTTATTTTCACATTCAATTGTTCAGAGGAAATTACACGGCCAAGCCAGAGCATCAGTGTGAAGAAAGACAAGGCTTCCCAGGAGAGAGGCAGAACCTATTTCTGAATACTAATAAATCCACCACAAGGGGCCTTTATACCCAAACAAATGAAATATGACACTGGCCTGGAATAGTATGATTGCAGAATACACAGACATCAGTAGACAGTATTAGCATATGTTTTGTGGAAAGAATCAAGAATTAGTAAATGAATTGAACTGAAAAGAAAAAGTAAGGTGACTCCTAAGTTTTAACTTTACACACCCACAGTAATGTTGTCATTTACTTAAATGGAAAAGTGCTAAGAGGGAAGCAAATTGGGATAGGAATAATCACGGATTCTATTTTTGACATGCAATTAAAGTAGTCAAATAGTCCACATATATTTGCCTACTGTATATCCAGCACTGTGAAAAATTGAGAATATAGCAGCAAATTACTCAGACAGAGTCTAGTATTTAAGTATTCAAGTACAAGAATTGGTATAATTCAGAAAATAAACACAGGATAAATAAACAAGTAATATGGGGTAAAAAATGACCCTATGGGGATGAAATAGTGCTAAGAAATCGCCTTCTAAGGTCATTGCATTTGGAGTAAGATGTGAATGATGAGTAATCCCTAGATACGTAAAAATATTCCGAACTAAAGGAAGAGATGATGTAAAGGCCTTGAGATAAAAATGCACTTGACTATTTTGAGAGATGGAAGGCCATTATGACTGAAATATAGTGAATAAGGGAAGGAAGGCGAGAGATGAGAATCAAGCAAACAGATGGATGACTAATCTTCTAAGATCTTGTCACCATAGTAATAAATATGTATTTAATTACTGTTGAAATTGGAATGCATTATTAATCATAGGAAAATCATGATCTGAGTTGAACGTTAGAAGGGTCACTCTGGCTACTGTGTGGAATACGGGTATTAGGAGTGCGAGGCTGGAGCCTTGCTGTCTGACGGAAGCTATCAGGCTTAGCCCTTGGAATTTTTTTTCTACCTGTACATTTTTAGGTAGAAGCAAACTGTCTGATCTTCTCAAAGATGTAGAAAAAAAGCATATTTGGTAGAACAAGGAAGGATCTTGCTTTGCTAATCAATAAATCTTTTTATTAAACATGATAGAGCTGATTAAAATTATTACCAGAAGAGAACTTCTTTGCTTTGTAAATATGTCCATTTTATTCACTAACTACCTATTACAAATATATTGGTAATGTTAGAAGAATTCCTTTTGATCGCATCAAGTTTAAAAGCTTCTGCAAAGCAAAGGATATAATCAACGAAGTGAAGAAACAACCCACAGAATGGAAGAAAATATTTGCAAACTACCTATCTGATAAGGGATTAATAACCAAAATATATAAGGAGCTCAAACAACTCTACGGAAAAAAAATCTAATACTCTTCTCAAAAAAATGGGCAAAAGATTTGAATAGACATTTCTCAAAAGAAGACACACAAATGACAAACAGGCATATGAAAAAGTGCTTAACATCATTAGTTATCAGAGAATTGCAAGTGAATATTAAAATGAGATATCATTTCACCCCAGTTAAAATGGCTTATATCCCAAAGATAGGAAATCCCAAATGCTGGCAAGAATTTAGAGAAAAGGCCATTGCATTTGGAGTAAGATGTGAATGATGAGTAATCATACAGAAATCATACAGATTTCCTTGTATATTTCGGTGGAAATGTAAATTAATACCACCACTATGGAGAACAGTTTGGAGCTTCCTCAAAAAGCTGAGAAAAGAGCTACCATAGGATCCAGCAATACCACTGCTGTGTATATACCCAAAAGAAAGGAAATCAATACATCAAAGAGATATCTGCAATTCCGTGTTTGTTGCAGAACTGTTCACAACAGCCAATAATTGAAAGCAACCTGAGTGTCCATCAGCAGATGAATGGATAAAGAACATGTGGCACGTATACACAATGAAGTACTATTCAGCCATAAAAAAGAATGCTGTCCAGTCATTTGCAACACCATGGATGGAACTGGAGGTCATTATGTTAAGTGAAATAGGCCAGGCACAAAAAGACAAACACTGCATGTTCTCACTTATTTGTGGGATCTAAAAATCAAAACAATTGAATTCATGGAGATAGTAGAAGGATGGTTACCAGAGGCTGGGAAGGGCAGCAGGGGGATTGGCGGGAGGTGTGGATGGTTAACGTGTACAAAACAAAACAGAAAGAATGAATAAGGCCTACTATTTGATAGCACAACAGGGTGACTATAGGCAATAATAACTTAATTGTACATTCTAAAATAACTTAGAGTGTAATTGAATTGTTTGTAACTCAAAGGTTAAATGCTTAAGGGGATTGACACCGCATTCCCCATAATGTGCTTATGTCACATTGCACGCCTGTGTCAAAACATCTCATGTACTGCATAACTAAATATACCTATTATGTACCCACAAAAATTAAAAAATAATAATAAAAATAAATTTTAAAAGTTAAAAAAGAATTGTTTTTGAAAAACAGGAACAAGACTTGGACACTCTTAGTATATAACTAGCTGAGAAAAAAATGAAGTCATGAAAGAACACTTAATTAACCCAAAATAATGGAGGGAAGGAAAGCTAAAGTAACAAAATGAGTAGGGCAGAAATAATAAAATGACAAAATTGAAACCAACTACATTAGTGAATATATTAAACATAAATAGATCAAATATTTAATAAAAATAGAAATGCTTACACTAGATTAAAGACAAATATCCAAAAATATACTGGTTACAAGAGAATATACCAAAAATATTTTTTTAAGCTGAAACTCAAAGGATATTAGCATGCAAACACTAATCAAAGTGGTGATGTTTTGGTAGTAGGATTCAGGCAATAAGTGATAGCAAAGGTGAGAAAATACACTTTATAATGATAAATGACTTAATCCAATAAAAAATTTAATAATTTAGTAATTGTGAACAATGGTAATTGTAATAATGCGGCTAATGTTTAAGATCAATATACACACAGGAAAAATTGACAGGTCTTAAAAAAGAAAGAGAAAAATACACAACCATACTGGCATGATTTCATTTGTACACTTTGATTTCAGTATGACATACTGCAAAAGAAAAATTTTGATAAAAAATACCATAGCGGCTAGGCATGGTGGCTCATGCCTGTAATCCCAACACTTTGCGAGGCCAAGGCAGGTGGATCATGAAGTCAGGAGTTCGAGACCAGCCTGGCCAATATGGTGAAACCCTGTCTCTACTAAAAATACAAAAATTAGCCAGGCACAGTGGCAGGCGGCTGTAATCCCAGCTACTCAGGAGGCTGGGGCAGGAGAATTGCTTGAACCTGGGAGATGGAGGTTGCAGTGAGCCAAGATCGTGCCATTGCACTCTAGCCTGGGCGACAGAGTAAGACTCTGACTCAAAAAAAAAAAAAAAAATCCATAGCATTTTAGGGCAGTTGAGTGTGAATCTCCTTACTGTATGGTGTAAATTGGAAAGGTAGACAATCTTAGATTAGGAAGTCCTTGACCTACTATGCTATGATGAGGAGTTTCTACTTTTTCGTATAGGTTATGAAGCTCTAGAAAGGATGTTATTGGCAGGAATGACATAATTATATTTGCTTTAAAAGATTACTCTTGCAATAATACTTGGGTAATAATCTTGGGTAATACTATGGAATTGTCTGGGGAATACAAAAGAAAAATCCAGATTGAAGAGAATGACTATAGTGATTTCAGTGTAGGGTTTATTTTATTGAAGCTGGCTTTTCTGGGCCTCATGACAGAGGTGTGGACTGGAAATATGGGAGCTTTGATGTATACAAGAAATAATTGAGAAACAAAGTTCTTGGTTTCTTGGGAGTAGAGAAGGAAAAGGTGGGGTAATCTCAGAGATATTTGGACTCATTTAGAACTACAACCATAGCAATTCATATTCATGTAAACACCATTAAGTTCGCTTTTTTAAAAAAGTAGTTCATTGAATAAAAACATTTCCAACCTCTTATTTAAAAGATAATATAGTATATATTTTTAGGAAATAAGGAAGTAATTTTGCCTTCTGTTTTCAATTTACAACTAAAGCCAAAATCAACACACATACAGAAAAATACACACAAACACACATAAACACACACAAATTGAGCAAGTTAGCATTATAACACATTTTGAAAATATCCTATGAAGAATTTTGCATGTTTCTTAATGTTTCTGTTTTAATGACATGAATTATAAATGTATTTATTTTCCTGTGATTTTTATTATTAAAGTTTAGTTTTTAAAAACAGTTACCGAAATCTATAAATATATTGATTCATGTGAACGTAGATCATTTTAGCTCACAGAATTTACTTCCCCAAGTTCTTATATATTACTGATAATTTCAAGGCAGAATTTAGTATGTGGATAAATGGAGGTAGGGAATGTCTGGTAGCTGAACATGCTGTATATAAAATAGTAATAAGTGTCCATTTAGTGTTTAGTGTTTAGCTGAATTCTACTCTATTCTGTTCCCATTAAACTGAAGTTAGCGGGGAAGAGAGTACACACACTCTCAGGATAGCAATACAATATGTAAAAGGTTAGAGTGATTGAAAGGAAATTATGTAATACAATTTGAATTAAATAAGAAAGAAAAATCCTAGAAGTTAAATCTCTCAATTATCAATATTTTTTTAATTGTTCCTTATTTTTTGACCTCCAGTTTAACCAAATATGTGTATATCCTCATAATGAAATGTGGATAGCTGACTTGCTAGTAAGCTGGTAGATTGAAGGACAAAATTAATACTAAAAGTTTAAAAATTCTTCATATTCCTTGAATATTTTCTATTTGCATTTTCCTATGCTTTACCTAGTTGGTACTTAAGCACAGGAAAGCTCAATTTATGTCACTAAAAATGCTACTGCTGGAGTATGCTGGACAATTCCACGTTTTGCCCATTTGAGTTAATTCTGAGGACTTTCCTATTTGTTGAATATATTATGTTCATACTTTTAGAAATATCAACACAAAAATTATTATAGTCTACAGGGATACCTGCTGCTTATGAAATACTGAATTAAATAAAAATAGGGTATTACTTTCAAACACTAATATTTTCCCAATTCCCATATTCATGGACTTTCCCCAATTATTTCTAATACATGACATCTTTAACTTGGAAAATTAATTGAAATGTTTCAAATGTTTGCATAACATTACTACTGAGCACTTAAATTTTTCATGAACTTATGAACACTTAATTCTGAGAGTATAATGAAATATTTGCCATATTACTTTAACTTTATGTGCTTGAATAGGGGAATAAGAAGAGAAAAAATATAAAAAGATAGAGAATTTAAATTGTATGCAGAATGACTTAGCAGTCCAAGATTTAGGAAAATGTTTGAGTTGGGATATTTCTTCTTTCTTCATTATCAAAAAATAAAATTCCTGTGGTAAAGAATCAAACATCATTTTTATAATGCTAGTTATATACCAGTTCCCCTCACTGAGACTAACTTGGAATAGTTTACACAAATTAAGCATCTTCAACTTGAGGCCATTAAAACATTTCAGTTCAGAAGGAAGTGAGATGGTCCTTCATGAATTAACCTCAGTAATATCTGCTGGAACACTTTCTAATGCTGGCTAAAGTGCATTTCTGTGTATTTCCACTTAAGCCATCTGCCAATCTTAATGCTTATTCCTGAGGGCGGAAAACTTGCAGAGCTATTTCTTATATAATTTTCAAGGACATCCTGTTTAGGTACTTATCAAAAGAATAGGAGAATTGATGCCAAATACCGCAAGCCCTAGTTTAGAAAACTTAATGGGTTGGAGACTGAAGTAATAACCTACATTTAAAAGGAACTGTAGCTTACTTCCTTTGTATTAAGTAAATACTTAGAAAGTATGGCTGTTAGGATGAAATGCATTTTTAAAATAACAGTACTTTGCTCTATAAGCATTAAGGGATTTCTAGGGAAAACAAATGTTTACCTTTCCTGGGATGGGAAAGAGCCATGATTGTCTGTGTACCTAGGTAGTAAGATAAAACTGAAACATCTAATTCTTTCGGAAAAGAAATTATCTAACCTAAAGATTTTTATATTATATGTGTAGATAACAAAAGAACAAGTCAAATTAGATAGCTGTGCCTATTACTATTAATATATTAGATTTAGTATGTTACACCCCTTCTTATCCACAGTAAATATTTAAATTAACTCTATGAGATTTAATTTCACAATCTAACTCTGAAAATAACCTAATTCTCAATATTCCTGCTGTAAAACACCATATAAGATAAACATAAACATATTTTGATTTTGAAAAACTTTGTATTTGAGTGACAAAAATATTAGGGAAAAATGTATTTGCTTTTTATTACACCAAGGCAGTAAATTATAACTTGAATATATAATGTCTTTAGTTGAACAAGATAACACACTACCCTTTCTCTGAGTGCTATACAAACGGATTTTTGCTGAGCAGGTTAATAAAAACTGAAGTCAAATAATATTTTGAAAACACATCTGATCAGATTGGGCAAACTTCACCATTCCTTTTAGTTGGCACTAAAGCAAGACACCCAGTTAATTTTTTGCCATTACTTAATAATGTAATTTTAGCTACTGCACTGAGATACTCAACAAGCCTTAATTGAACATATCTTCATATTACATTTGTGCATAGGTTGAATATATAGCTACTTAAATGATGTCATTTCAAGGACTCTTGTTCAAGGCAAATCTTCTCAAATGTTCTGACTTAACAGTATTCCCTTAAGGCTTATTTCTTTGATGCCTGAAGTCTTAAAGACTTTTGGGACTCCAGAAGCTTTCAACATACCAATCTTTAATTTTTTTTGGAGGGGGCGTTCATGTGGACAAGAGGAGGTTTTATTCAATAAGGAAGAGGGGCATTGATTGGATTTAGAAAGGGGGTAGCGGGGTGATATGACCCAATTTGTACTTTTTTATACTTTTAAGTTCAGGGGTGCATGTGCAGGTTTGTTACATAGGTAAACTTGTGTCATGGGAGTTTGTTGCACAGATTATTTAATCACTCAGGTATGAAGCCTAGTACCCATTAGTTATTTTTCCTGATCCTCTCCCTCCTCCCACCTCCCACCTTCCCATAGTCCCCAGTATGTGTTTTTCCCCTTTCTGTGTCCATGTGTTCTCATCATTTAGCTCCCACTTACAGGTGAGAAGGTGCAGTGTTTGGTTTCTGCTACTGCTAATGCAGTTTGCTGAGGATAATGGCCTCCAGCTCCATCTATGTCACTACATTTCTCTATTTACTAAAGAAATTAAGACTCAGAGAAGGCCTATGTTACACCAACAGGTTAAACTTAGACTAAGTTGTGGGGCTTCTGACTCCTGGTCCAGGAGCTTTTTTTTTTTTTTTTTTGGCATATCTCTAGCAATTAACATAGTCATAATTTAATTTTGCTTCCTTATAGAGGAGATTGAGTGGAGTGGAGGAAACAGGTCAGGATATGGTTTTCCTAGTGAGTCAGCATCACAAGAGAAAGAAATTCAGAAATAAATCCTATTGAAACACACAATGAATCACAGGGAGAAGTACATCTGTTCAGAAGCTAATCACAAATGTAACATAAATATAAAAACACTGTCAATTTCAAATGGATTACTGGTTAAATATCAAGAAAATTATGGATGGCAAAGTGCAAATCTAGCATCAGATTAGGGATAATTTCAAAGCTAGCAATGACTTGCTAGCAATGACCTACTTGCTGTCTCCCTCTAGTCTATTTTCAGTGGGTATGAACTTATTGTAGTAAAGATATTCTATGCATTAAATGTACGAGTACGAACAGCCAGATTGCACATGGTTGGCATATGAACACATAAGAACAGATTTAAGATGGTTTAATGAAAGAGGCAGACAAAGGGCACAAGACGATATCCAAGAAAACTTTCCTGCCTTTCAAAGATATCTATATATATTAAAGAAAATATTCTGAAAACCTTTCATATATGCCAATTATTTTATACCTATGTAAATATTTTCCATTTACCTCTGCATTTCATTATATTAATAGAGTTATATGGTAAAATATACTCTGGTGTATGATTATATTTGATTACTGTTTGAATGATAGCATACTTTTTAAATATGTATTCATCAGCAAGGAAATTACATAGTAGTTGAATTTTCTGTAGATTGCCTGATAAATATTGAACTCTTAGAGGAAAATTGATGCAAATTTTAGTGAAAGGTGACTACCAACTAAGAGTTAAGCTACCTTATAGTGACATTGTAAAAGGACATTTAAATATGGTCTTTTTGAAGAGACAGGTGGTGCAATTGCCAAAAAGTTAAAATAAGGCTAACTCTTCCTTTAGTTCTTCCAGATACGTGAATAGCTGCAAATCTCTGCTAAATGCAATTGACTTCATTTTACTTGATGAGTTCAATCTCACTACTAACTTATCAGGGAAAGTGCAGAGACATTGCCTATGACTATGTATAGTGTCCATCACTATTGAAAACATATTCCATGGAATTTTGCTAACGTTGGGAATAAAATAAATCAGGAATAACTTATGTTACTTTTTTCTTGCTCTGTCTTTTTTACTCTTTAACAGCTCAAAATAACAGCTCACATTTCCAATGGTTGGAGATTTTGTTAGTATCATTTAGCCTAGAGGAAATATAACTTCAGCTTTCCAAAGAGCATATATTTTAACTGTAATGGTATCATATTTAGCAGTTTTCTAAGTGTGATATTCTTTGAGATTAATACAAAGTTAAAATAATATCACAATTTGTATATAGCAATTACCTATGTATTGGGAAATTAAAAGTGATTACTAGTAATATGAGCCTGTGCCACATTTCTTTATGTTTAGTGGAGAGTTCAAGTTTCTTAACTTTCTCTTGTTAAGTTTTAGGACATTTGTTATCTTGTAAAACTGTGATGAGGCTGAAATTTTCATGTAAAAGATTAAAGTTGTCATTAATATTGCTTATATTTAATTTTTTCAGAATCTATGGTTATATTTTTCTGAGGTATAATTGATTTTTCTATTTGACTATAAACTTTTTTGTAAAGAAACAACTATTGGCTTTATGTTTTATTAATTCCATTATTGATTCATTAATGCTTCATCTTATCTTTATTTTCATTACCATTTAAGATTGCTTTAATGTTCTTCTCTGGCATCCCTATTTAATACTTACTTTACACATCGGAATGCCTTTAGCTTCTTCATTTGGGAGCACTTATGGCTATGAGTAGAGATACCAAAGTATTCTGAAGGCATTAAAATATATAAACACTGATTATTTTATTATATATCTCTTTCTTGCATGTATTATATGCAATATATATGTTTTTAATTGCATATGCAAACATTCATTTTCTTCTTTTTTAAACTTTTGTCTTAAGTTCAAGGGTACATGTGCAGTTTTGTTACATAGATAAATTTGTGTTATGGGAGTTTGTTGTACAGATTATTTAATTACCCAGGTATTAAGCCTAGCATCTATTAGTTACTTTTCCTGACCCTCTCCCTCCACTCCTTCCTCTCACCCTCCACCATCTGACAGGCCCCAGCGTGTGTTGTTCTCCTCTACGTCCCCATGTGGTCTCATCATTTAGCTCCCACTAACATGCAGTATTTGGTTTTCTGTTCTTGTGTTAGTTTGCTAAGGATAATGGCCTCCAGCTCCATTCACATTCCCGCAAAGGACATGATCTCATTCTTTTTTATGGCTGCATAGTATTCCATGGTGTATATGTACCACATTTTCTTTATCCAGTCTATCATTGATGGACATTTAAGTTGATTCCATGCTTTTGCTCTTGTGAATAGTGTTGCAATGAACATTTGTGTGCATGTGTCTTTATGGCAGAATGCTTTATATTCCTCTGGGTATATAACCAGTAATGGGATTGCTAGGTCAAATGGAAGTTTTGCTTTTAGCTGTTTGAGGAATTGCCATACTGCTTTTCACAATGGTTGAATTAACCTAAACTCCCACCAACAGCATGTAAGTGTTCCCTTTCTCCACAACCTCAACAGCATCTACAATTTTTTCAATTATTAATTAGAGCCATTCTGACTGGTGTGAGATGATATCACATTGTGGTTTTCATTTGCATTTCTCTAATGATCAGTGATTTGGAGCTTTTTTTCATATGATTGTTGGTGGCACAAACATTCATTTTCTACATGGTCTAATTTTACTCCTGTTTTCACTGTAAGAATTATTGGAGGGTATGATAAATTTCTAACTGATTGAACTTTGTTAATAATTTTAACAATTCTAATTTGTAATATTGTAGCCTGAAAATTTGGGCAGTGCTGTTGAATTTATCACAGCATATATATGTGCATTATGATATGTTTATTTTTTACTCCTCTCTGGGCACTTGTAAAGGCTATATGTTCAGTTTTCATGATAGAAAATTTTATATAGATTTATAAAATGTATTTGCATAATTCAGATAAACATTTAATTAATAATATTTTGTAAGTATTAATGGTATTTTTTAGTTTTGTTAATTTATAATTAACATTATTTATACTTTGTCACTTTTGTCTACTTGATCTATCTAAATAATGTACATTACCCTCCTGGATACAACTGCAAATCCATCAACTTCTACTTTTTTAAACTTTTTCTTTTGTGATAATTATAGTTTTACATTTATGATATGTTATATAGAGAGATCCTGTGTGCCTTTTACTTCATCCCTATTAATAGTAACATCTTGCAAGTCAGGATATTGACATTTACATAGTCAAGACACAGAACATTTCTATTCACACAAGCTGCCCTTTTACTGTGACACCTACTTCCCTCCTATCTTCACACCATCTTAACCCCTGGCAACTAACAATCTGTCTTGTATATCTGTCATTATTCTCATCTTAAGAATGTTATACAAATGTGACCACGTAGTATGTAACATTTTGGAGCTGACTTTTCTCACTCAATATAATTCTTTATAGATGCACCCAGGTTATCGCATTGTATTGATAATTTGTTTACTTTGATTGATGAGTAATGTTTCATGATATGCGTGTACCAGAGTTTTGGGGGTTATCTTTTAACTATTGATCTGTTGAAGGAAATCTGAATTTTTCCAGTTTTTGGCTATTATAAATAAATCTAATACAAATATTTATGTAATTTTGGGGCATAAATGTTAGTTTTTATTTCTCTGAGATAAATGCCCAAGGAAATGATTATAGGGTAATATGGTAGTTGAATGTTTAGTTTTATAAGAAACAGCCAAACTGTTATACAGAGTGGCTATACTATTTTATATTCCCACCAGCAATCTAGTTTCTTCCCATCCTCACCCACATCTGATGTCATTTTTTTTAAATTTTAGCCATTCTGATAGATATTACTTTTTACTCACTTAAAGCTTAAAGAAACAATTCACACTAAATCATTAATGAAAATTTGGAATTTGAAGTCATAAACATAAAATCTCTAAGAAATATTTTAGACAGAAATAAAAAAATATTGCTGAGTAGTGGTCACATTCAATTTAGGGAAGAAGAAGGAAGGAACCTCAAAAAGAAATGGAGAAATGACACAAAAATCAACAATTTGCCATGGAAGCAAATAAAATAGAAAGTTGCAGAAATTAGTGACTTTTATTAATTTTGTATAATGCAGACTGCTTCTGGCAGTGAAATGTGGTTTTTAATTTGCATTTCTCTACTGGCTAATGATGTTGAGCACCTTTTTACGCACTTACTAGCTATCTGTATGTGCTCTTTGCTTTAACTATGTGTCAGGTCTTTTGCCCATTTTCTACTTGATTTTTCTTTTTTATACTATTGTCTTTTGACATGTCTTTATATATTCTAGTTACTATTCTTTTGTTGGGTATATGGTTTGCAAATATTTTCTCCAAGTCTACAGCTTGTCTTTTTATCCATGTAACAGAGTCTTTGTAGAGCAAAATATTTTAATTTTGATGCACTCAATTTATCAATTTTTTTATTATGGATAATTTTGGGGGTCAAGTCTCAGAACCTTTCCCTCAGCCTAGATGATGATGACTATTTCTGTTCTTTTTTTCTAAAATTGTAATGGTTTTACATTTTACATTTAATGGTCCATTTTGAGATAAATTTAAATAAGATATGAAGTTTAGGTTGAGGTTTATTTTTTTAAAGCAAGAGGTGTACAATGGCTCCAGCATCAATAGCATGATTTTACTACCTACTTGCTCTAGATTATCAATCACATGTCCTATTCATAATATCGGTTCCTCTGTTTACATACCATATTGGCATCTATCTATATGTGTGATAGGTGTTTGAAACTCAAATTTTCAAACTTATATTAATAATTTCCACTCCAAACTCAGTTTTTTCTATATTTCTTATTGAGATTTTTGAGCCAAATATCCTCCAAGCAAATGGAATTACAATGTGGAAGGTAGCCTATGTATTTTTTTCAACTGTCCTGCTACCAATATTTTATGTGACATTTCCTATGGATTCTAATTCCAAAATAGCTCTTGAATCCATCTCTTTCTACTCATTTCTGCTTCCACTTTCATAATACATACATTATCTCAATTTCTGAATAGTCTTTTTTTTTTAAACTAGACTCATGCCAAGATACAAAGCTTCACCCTCCCAATCCAATTCTTTCCTATAAAGAGTAACCAAAGTGAGCTTCTAAGTATGCCTTTTTTTTAACCTTGACCTTTCCTTTCTTTTCAGTTTTATCTCTGGCTCTTTCTTAAACTTAGCTCACATTCTGCACATTTTAAGTTACTTGGTTCCGCTATACACCTTGTGATCTTCTGCAGGTCTGCATGTTTGCAAACATTATTTACTCTCCTTTCTATGTGGAAATCATTCTTTTGGATTCAGTTCAGCTGTATATTTTTTATCTAAATGTTTCTGATTTTCACTCTCCCTACTCTGTAATTAGAGGCATCAGAAAGAATTTACCTTTTTTTCCCTTCACCTTTTCTACCTTTTATACTCAACTGCTATGCCATTTATCACTCTAAATTGGGATTATTTGTATATATTTATTTCTCCAATACTGTGGCTTAAAAAAAAGAGACTGTCTTTTTTACATTTGTGTCCTCTGTCTCACATAGCATGAGGAAAATAGTAAGTGTTAAATAAAAGTTTATTTAATGGTAGGGACTTAATTATTTTTTATTTGTGCTGATACTAGACAGGGGTAGATCTTTCTGAAGCTATCTTTAGTGATCTGACTTGTTACTAACTGATTCCATTCATAATCTTTCCATGTTCATCACAGAGATTAAATATTAAAAATTTTTAAAAATTATTATTCTGAGAATGTGCAATCTGGATTTATAGAGATTTAAGTGCATCAACAAGTATAATGAAGGGGCCATTAAATCTTGTCAAATTTATTCCAACCTCTTTTAGATCAATTTATTCCTCTGATTTCTATCTTTAGCATTTAGTTCAAGCCTATAGCACTTTGTGCAAATTATACTATAGTTCATAGATTGTTCTCTCTACCTGTAGGTTCTCTCTCACTTCAGTTCTATTCTGTATTCAAAAACAAAGGAAATAATTAAGAAACAAGCTACCAAAATTTTGCTCAAAGATCTTTAATAGTTTACATTTCTCCAAAATTTAGTATAAATTCTCAATCTCTTATTCATAATTGCAAATATGCCAGTAGTTGTGAAAAGAAAAAAAAATATGTATATGTTTGGGGCAAATTCATTTAAAAGTAATGCCTGACCTACATTGTACTTAGACTGTTTAGTCATTTTTTTCCACTCAGAAATAATATTTGTATGTTTTGTTGCAGATATAGTACCGTATTTGGTCATAAGGTACTGCCTCTGAGTTCATTTGTGTACCATACATTTAATATACTTCATATGTACCATTT
Organism: Homo sapiens; assembly: GCF_000001405.40. Lineage (NCBI taxonomy): Eukaryota > Metazoa > Chordata > Mammalia > Primates > Hominidae > Homo > Homo sapiens. The sequence continues at coordinate 80,949,301 of NC_000013.11, read as the reverse complement.
TAACAGCAATCACAGAAATAAAACTAGAACAATGAAAGAAAGAAAGATAGAGGAAAAGAAGGTAATGTAGACAAGAAAGAAAATGACAAGAAACAAAACAAAAGAAAAATGTCACAAAAGGCTTTGAGTAAAATGTTATGGACATATAGTACCTCAAATGTCTAGCATTCAAGACCACCCACTTTCTGTCTTTCCTCCAGCACCATGTACTATGTTTATTCTTCCCACAGTTAGCAAATGCAGGGTTTCCCAATGTAATTGTTTTATCTGAATCGGAGATTGTATGTTATATTTAAGTGATTTAATTTCAAATTTTTATTAAGAATTCCAAAAGTCACACTTGTCATTGAAACGTTATCATTTTACAATTACCAATATTTAAACACTACACTTCAACAATATTTGTGTATTATTTATCATTTGCCTAACAAATCTTTGTACCTCCACTTAGTGCTATTTCAGTTTTGCCTCTTCTGTGTATTCTTTTTCCAGTGTCTCTCTATTGAATCCAACTGCAAGATTCTTCACTGCCCAATTAAAATACTATAGTGAAGTTTTTCATGACCATTGTCACTGTAATATATTGAAAAGTATATCACTTTGTCATGGTAAAGTTACCTCTGATGCTTTATCTTGGAAAAGTCATAACTTTCAGTCAATGTGTACATTCATATAACACAGACATGATATCTGATTTGCTTACTTCACTAAAACTCTGTTGGAATCAAATGATATTAAATATGTGATTCTGCATTTTGAATTAAACCCTTAAACGTTTCTAAAAATTGAAGGTATTATTATCATTAGTTTGTCTTATTCTCTTTAACTCTTAGAAGATTTCTAACAGTCATGTATATTTAATTTTATTTTACTTAAAAGCAAGAAGCATATTATTATATGTCCCAAAAAATGTAGACCTAGAAACTAATAAAATATATTTTAAAAGGTATTATACAAGAAAGTATATATGTATAAGTTTACTGGACAAATGAACAAGTCATCAAACAATAGCTTAATGTCCATGTTTACAATAGATTTATCTAAACCAGGAATCAGCAAAATTTTCTGTAAAAGGGCCAGATCTTAAAAGCAACAGATAACAAATATATTAGAATTTGCAGGCACGTAGTCCCTATAGCAAATACTAAATTCTGCTTTTATAATGTGCAAGAATTTTAACACAATAGATAAATAAATGGTTATGCCTGTGTTTTAATAAAACTTTATGGACACGGTAATTTCAATTTCATATCATTTTCATGTGTTTTTTGTTTTGTTTTGAGACTGAGTCTCACTCTGTTGCCCAGGCTAGAGTGTAGTGGCCAAATCTCGGCTCACTGCAACCTCCGCCTCCCAGGTTCAAGCAGTTTTCCCACCTCAACCTCCCTAGTATCTGGGATTACAAGCATGCGCCACTACACCCAGCTAATTTTTGTATTTTTAGTAGAGACAAAGTTTCGCCATGTTGGCCAGGCTGGTCTCAAACTCCTGACCTCAAGTGATCTGGCCCCCTTGGCCTCCCACAGTGTGGGGATTACAGGCGCAAGCCACTGGCCAATTTTCATGTTTTGCAAAACCCCATTTTCCTTTTTCTTCATTCGTTTAAAAATTTCAAAAATTATGTTAGTTTACAAGCTACACAAAACAGGTGGTAGACTAAATTTGATCTATGAGCCACAATTTATTGATCCCTGATCATTTAACAAGTAACCTCCGACATTCATCAAATTTAAAAGTTTAATATATGAGATAATTTAATTGTTAAAATGATCACATTATCTATTGCTTGTTAAAAATGAATATAGAAATTATTCATTTATGAACATTAGGCAACAGTCGATGGCATATGGGCTGCATGGAGAAGGAAATAGTATTATCAAGAGAAATTTTTGGTTCATTTGTGAAAAAAGATTGAGACAATCATTAGCATGGCATTATTTATAGATAATTTGGAGTATAGAGTGTTTGAGATGTTCTTTGGAAAAAATGAAAACTCAGAGCTCTACTTGTCTAAATTTTAGAGGTGTAGCCAAATCTTGTTGCAGTTACCAGAATTCTTACATGAAGTTTTTCCCTTAACATGTACAAACAGCCTGAAAAATAAAATGAAACGCTTTGAGAGATGTCTTCTATCAACAATATACACCCTGTTTTCCTTTGTTATTTCCATTTTCCTCTCTTCTAATCTTTTTCTTCTATTTTCTAATCCTCTCTAGCTTTGAGAAGGACAGATATATTTTTGTTTAGTTTATACCCACATTCTTCTTCCTCTGCAGTAATTATTACATTATGTAAAAGCTATCTTTTAGAATTACTACTTTGAAAATGTATTATGTTTGAAAACATCTCGGTCGTTATTTAATCTATTATTTATCTTCATTAACTAATTAAACAAACAAAATGTTGAACAGTTCAATAAAATCTCAAATGTTGAGAATATGTTTAAAATAATATGATACAGGGTTTTTTTATTTTTCATTTTTGGAGGATTTTTTTGTTATTCTTCTATCTATCAGAAACGTAACGAAAAGGAGGTTAAACTCTGTTCATGCTTGAAAAAGAAAGAAACCATTTAAATCAACCAACTCTTCACATCAAATAACTAGAAGTTAATTGTTGGCAAAACACATCTTCTGGTTATTATATTTCTTCAATCTCTTCATGTGCATACCCAAGTGGCTGGGCACCAAATACATTGATATACCACAGTTAGATTCTAGTTAAATGGGACACAAACTCAAGGAACAATTTTCAGCGATGTCACAGCTAATCGTAGCATCTCATGCAATACTATGTTTTACTTAGTCACAATAGCTAGTCTTAAGAAACATAAAATTGGGACAACCCATAATTCATTGTTTTAAGTTTTGCTTTATAGAAAGAGAATATCAGTTTTAAAATATGTATTCTGGAGTTATATTTATTTGATAAATGAAGATTATCTTTTTTCCTAACATTTCATAATTTATTCAAAAATTGTAAGATTGCATCATGTTATGATTTAATATGTTGTTAGAGATAATGACATAATTAAAAAGACTACATTTTCTTTTACCATTTTGAATTAGGGATGTAATGTAAGTAATCATAGCAGAGAAGTCATCCAGAGATAATGGAAATTTATAACTGATCAGGAAACAGGAAGAACAACTAAATGAGTAATCCTAAAAGGGCATTAAGCCACAGTTGTAAAAAACAGATTTATTTGTCTATTAAATTACCTGCTAACTTTGAAGCTGCATAACTGTTTAGCTGCTTTCTGACCAGGAAAAAACAGATACATCAAAAATCTGCAGTCTTCTATAAGATCAACTTGATTGTTTATTAAACATCATGTCAAATATGTTAAGATTTTCTACAATGATACTTGAATTAAAAAAAAACTTTAGAAAAAAATCACATGAAAAATATTAGTGCAATTTTGTCAAACTGAACTAGAATGTTAAATAAGCTCAACGACAAGGTTTTTTTTTCTTAATTTCTTATTTTATATTTATGTTTTCCATTAAGTATTTTTTAACTCATAGAATGAAATAGCCATCGTCCAGGAATTTTTTGAAAAGCCACATTAAAAATAATCTTTGCAATTATGTCAAATTAAAATGGCATCTTACATAAGGACAACAGTAGTTTCTGTTTTTCCTTTACTTGTGTTCTCTATTAAATCCCAAAGAATGAAATTGCTATTGTCCTGGCAATTCTAGGCATCCTGAAGTTTGTTCCTATCAATTGGCCCTTTATACCTCTCACCAGAGGCCGGATGTTTGCAGTTGCTGGCAGTTGCTGTTTGAGACACTGTTAATGGCTAATAGACCGGCAGCGCACATTGAAAGAGTGAGGCTCAGAGCCTGGGAAAGGTCCCAGCACTGAATGCCCTCACTGCTGCAGGGTAATTAGTGTATTATGTACAAGATTAGAAAATCAGTACTAAAGATATTCTATCTGACCCACTTCTTGAGAGTCATCAGAAATTATAAATGATTGTATATATTTTAAGAAAATTTAAATAATGTATAAATGGTTCCTCTCTCTTTATTAATCTAACTATATACATATTCTGCAACATTCAGTGCAATGCTCATTATTTCTATGAGCCTCCCCATTCTGGAATTTGAATATATGCAAAAATCCAAATTAAAAAAATAAATCAGCTTAGAGAACTGTTGGAAAAGCACAGCATTAGTTTATTTTCAGAGTATGAGAAAGATTTTTTTTGTTAATTATATAAACATAAAGATCATCATATTAAACTTCAAACATATTATTTAAACTAGGAACAGTAAAATAAACATCAACATTTGTCTTTGGAAAAGTTATTAAAATATAATTAAAACAGAAAAATCTTTTAGTTCTTCCCCCAGGCAAATTTAAAATACTGTGTGAAAGGAGGTCAAAGAAATATCTTATATTTGAAAAAGTGCTAATGAAATTCTCTAGTTATCTTTTTACTATTATTGACAAGAAATAAAAGTGTGGGTTGTTACTTGAGCTTTATCTTCATTTCAGTGCTGTAAGGAAAAATGAAGTTTTCTGGAAGAAAGTGGCTCTGTTTATAGCATTAACATAGTTTTAATGTTATTACATGCTGGTTACACTATTCATTATGAAAACAATGTTGACCTCTAAAATTGAGTATTAAATATACGAGTGGAAAACTTGACTAAAAAATAAAACTTCAAAATGTCATTGAAGACTGTTATTCTCAAAGATAAGACATATATATTACCTGTTTTAGTAGAGAGATTATCTTAACTAAAACTAATTGTTGCAAGTGTATTATGGTTTATAGACTATAAACAGTGCTAAGTTCCCTGGTACTTGCATATGCAAATTGAAAGAAATATATCTGTATCAAACTTTTACGTTTTCTCATGTTTAGTAAAACATTTTCTATAAAGCATATATGTCTTTTAATAATAATAATAAACACATAGGTGTCACCTGTTAAAGTGATAAAACTTTTGATGAAAAGAGGAGGAACTCAAAGAGTCAAATTTAACATTTCATCACACCTATCTTAATGAGGTTGCTGGATTGATTGTTAGTAAAAAGATAAGGACTGATTCAAAATCATGAGGTTTATCCAGTGGGCAAAAAGTCATTTGCCTTATACATCCTCTAGGGATGATTGATTTTCCCTTTAATAGAATGTAACTTTTCAGTGGGAAGAGATCTAACTTTGATTATTTTATTGAAACTACTTCACACGTTTGTATTCAATTATTGATTCTCTACTAGATTCCAAAAATAAAGTCTACAAATCATCTCCAAAGCCCTTACAGATTAAATAACTCTGCAAAGTTAAATGGTGACATAAATATATAAAAACAAGATAAATTAAACATAAAGATTTTACATTACAAGGAAAGCACACATTAAACAAAAATGCATATTCGTCAGCATCCCTATATATTTAACACCATATAAAATATTTTAAATTTATAATAAAATTAAAATCTGTAAACAACGAAATGAGTTTTTATAATGCTATCAAAAACTGAATGAAACAAAGACTGCATTTAAGTAATTGTGCTCTCTTGTAGTATTTAATTTTCTAATAGTTTCAAATTGGCTGAGACTCAAATAAATGCTATAATTAAGACTTGCTCACCTGAAAACAAATTCACTGGACTATTTTTACTTAAAAATAAACCTACTAAGTTGAAATTGCTTTAAAAACCATTGGTCTAGTTTTATCCTCATACTTTTTGCTAAAACATTTGTTCCAGAGTCTAGATCAATTCTGAAGAGAAAAATAAATGTTGTAGAAAATATACAAAATTCTCTGATGTACAAAGAAATACAAGAACTATATTTTTCAACTGAAAGAGAAATACCTTTCACAAAATAATATGTATTCATTCATTCTTTACATTAAGAAACAAATTCAGTGCCTATTTTTTAGAGATAGACATAGGGGGCCGGGAGCGGTGGCTCACGTCAGCACTTTGGGAGGCCAAGGCAGGTGGATCCTCTGAGGTCGGGAGTTTGAGATCAGCCTGACCAATATGGTGAAACCCTGTCCCTACTAAAAGTACAAAAATTAGCCAGGCATGGTGGCGCATGCCTGTAATCCCAGCTACTCAGGAGGCTGAGGCAGGAGAATGACTTGAATCTGGGAGGTGGAGGTTGCAGTGAGCTGAGATTGTGCCACTGCACTCCAGCCTGGGCGACAGAGCGAGACTCCAACTCAAAACAAAAAAAAAAAAAAAGAGATTGACATAGGAATTTTATACTGTTATATGAGTAGAAATGCACATTTTTTCCAATTTTAAGGTAATTTTCAATGATTTGAAAATTTATGAATATTATGTATATTCAAGAAAATATTATAAAGCATATTTTTTCTGCAGCAGTTCTCACATTGAACTAATAATAATAATAAGGGTTTTCTAATGACTATATTTATTAGTTTACCCATGCAGATATTAGGAAAAGGATAAATGTAAGGACTTTTCTTCAATGAAATTGTTTTCTATATACCTGTCAGCAGGAATGATGGTGATTGTAATCTATAATCCCTTTGGTCCATATGGTAGCAGTGTAGAATATATATGACTAGTGTTATTATTTCCATTTTCCAAGTTACCAAATGAAGGCTCATAGAAGGCACATGATTTAACTAACTTAGTAAATGAATAAACTTGAACCTGAGTTCTTTCATGTCCAAGTAATATATTCTTGAGTAGTTAGTAAATCTTATGTAGCATCAAATCTTAGGCCATGTCAAAATAGCATTGGATAAGATAATAGCGATCTGAATTAAATACCTGAATAAAATAAAAAATAATCTACATTAATGTAATGGAAAATTGCTCAGAAAAGGGAATAAAAAGGCTTCGATTATCTCCTCAACAGTGTATATACAGCTGATGAAATAATCAGTAACCTAAAATATATGTCAAATGAAATGTCTCAAACTTAAATAAAATGAGAGAAAAATAATTTAAAAAGGCACTGCATAGTATATAGGAACTCTGGGGTAATTTAAAAATATGCAAAATACGTGTAATTCAGATAGAAGAAGAAGAGGAGGAGGAGAAAGCAGGAGGAAGAGGAAATAGAATGGAAGAAATATTAAAATAATAATGTCTGAGAACATTCTAAAACTTATAACAGATGCCAATTCATATACCTGGGAAGCTGAGAGAATACCAAATGGGACAAATATTTAAAAATATGCACATAGGCACATCATATTCAAAACGACAAAAATTAAGACAAAGAGAAAATCTTGAAAGAAAGCAAGAACTAAACAAAGGAGGAAATGGATAAGGAGGAAAATGAATAAGAATTACAGAAAACTAATTGTCAGAAACAATGGAACCAAAAAAACAGAAAAATTAAACTACTGAAAGAAAAGTATTATCAACCCAGAATTCTACACTCAGTGAAATCATTCTTCAAAATGAAGGATAAACAAGAAGTTTCTTAGACAAACAAATGGATTTGGGGAGAATTAAATGAAGGTAAAATAAAATAGTTCTCTTATTCTTGATTGATGTCATAGATAATATTAGCAATAATATGAGTATTATTATATATTTTAATGCTCTATTGTTAGGTGCATACATGTTTAAAGTTGTTATATCTCCTTGAATAATTGGCCTCTTGATTATAGTGTAATATTTCTTTTTGTCACTGGTAATTTTTCTTATTCAAAAGTTAGCTTTGTCTAAAATTAAAATTGCCTTCATTTATTTATTTTTTTCTGATACTTTTCCTTTCCTTATGTGTATATGTGTTTCTGGCCTATATTATTTTCTGTCTTCCTGAGAAGCTTTTTCAACATTTGTTGCAGTACTGCTAGCAGTTAATTATCTCAACATACATTTTGTTTGTCTAAAAAACTTCTTATTTCTCCTTCATTTTGAAGAAATAATTAGTCAAAGTAATAATTCCAAATATGCACTGTGTCATTGCAAATATGGAAGAGTGAGATGAATGTTAGGAATGTTACAAATGATAAGAGAGGAGAATTGGGAATAGTCTATTTTAAAATAACTGCGCCACCCATGAAGCAGTATACTGTTATTTAAAAGTAATCTTGGATTGATTTTAAATATATGTCAGCTTTAGTGCAACTATTACAAAAATGTGTTAGATGTATAACTGATATGCTGAGGAGAAAGTGAAATCATATAGCATGCTAAATAAGAAATGGAAAACAGCTATAAAACAGAGGAAGAAAATGAAAGAAACAAAGGATAAGTGCAAAGAATATAAAGCAGTTACAGACATGACAGATGTTACAGCAACTATATCAATAATTACTTTAATTTTGAATGATCTAAACACACCAGTTAAAGACAGAGAATTAGGGAGTGAATACAAATAACACACAAGTATATAAAGTCTGAAAACAAGTGACTTTAAAGGAACAGGAGGAAACTTTTTGAGCAGATGGGTAGGTTCATGGCATTGAGAAATGATAGTTTGATAATTTTATGAATGTATACTTATCCCCAAACAAATCAAGTTGTATACATTATATAACAATACGTTTTCATGTGCCAATTATACTGTAATAAAGCAGCTTAAAAATAAGTTTAAAATAACTATTAAAAAGCCATTTTATATACAAGGACAGACAGATTGAAAGTGAATGGATAATAAAACACATACCATGTTAATATCAATCAAAAATATTTGGCATAGGTACATTGATTTTAGACAAAGCTAACTTTTGAATAATAAAAATTATCAGTGATAAAAAGAAATATTACATTATAATAAAGAGGCCAGTTATCCAAGGAAATATACCAACCTTAAATATGTATGTGCCTAATAATAGAGGATAAAAGATACGTGAGCAAAAACCTGACAAAATTTTAGAGAAAAATAGACAAGCTCAGTATTATATCTGAAGATTTTGAACCCCTCTTTTAGTAATTGATACATGAAGGAGTCAGAAAATTGAAGAGAAAATAGTTGACCTGAAGAGCTCTATGAAGCAATTTGGTCTAATTGGTATTTATAGAACACTGTATCCAATAAAGCAGCATAATATTCTCATCAAGCTCATAAGGAACATTTGTGAAAAGTGGTACAGACTATGCCATGAAACACATCTTAATAAATGTAAAAGAATAAAGTCATACAAAAGATATCTGTGGTACACAAAGGAAATATATTTGAAATCAATAAGCAGAGGATAGTTGAAAAATTCTGAAATATTTGCATATTAATCAAAAAATGTGTAAGTAACACCTGGGTCAAAGAAGAGTCTAAAGAGTCATTCTAGGAAGTGAGGCAGCCTATTCAGTCAGGAGCAGCTGAGAGCAGGGAGATACTTCCCAATGCATTGAAAGGAGGGTTGTTTCACTACTTCTACTGCCATCACCAGTGCCATACCCACTGTCTAGGGTCTTAAGAACCCACCCACCTGCCTGGCCCACTGCTGCCATTTCTGGTACCCAAACAAGCCACCTGAAGGCCCCAAAATTGGTCCACTGGGACCCAGTAATGCAAGTGCTAGTGTACACTACCTGGGGCCCAAGAACAGGCATGTTCAGCTCACTGCTGCCACCACTGGGGCCCAAAGACTGGCCTACTTGGTGACCTAGTCCCTAGCAAAACTTCATCATAGCCTCCACTGACAACACCCTAAGCCACTAAGATACTCATAGACATCACTGACGCTCCTTCAGGCAAATAAATCATACAGAGACTACACTACTGCATGCACTCAAAATCGAAACCAAAGTGCCCTGCCCAACCAGCATCAAAGATATATCTTCAAAAAAAGTTCCCCTCTATGAAAGCAAATTCAAAAAATTGGAAGAAGAGACTGTTACACAAGACATGCAGATATCAATATAAGAATACAGAAAAAGAAAAATTGAGGAAATGTGACATCTCCAAAGGAATGCAATAATTCTTCAGCCACAGACCCAAACAAAAAGAAATTCATAAAATCTTGAAAGAGTAAATCACAATGTTGATACTAATGAAACTCAGTAAGATAAAAGATAATTTTGAAAAACAATACAAAGAAATCAGAAAAACAAATTTGAATATGAATGAGAAATTAACCAAAGAGATAGATACCATTAAAAAGTGTCAAACAGAAATTCTGGAATGAAATATTTATTATTAAATAAAATACAAAATATATTTGAAAGTTTTAACAATAGACTAAATCAATCAGCAGAAAAGATACCCATAATGTAAATTTGTCTTTGGAAATAACCTAGTCAGATAAAAATTTAAACCAAAAGAATAAAAACAGAAAACCAAAGGTTTTGTGACACATGGGACATTACAAAACGGCCAAATACTTGAACTATCTGTATTCCAGAAGGCTAAGATGTAACAAAAGGGTAAGAAAACCTATTTCATGAAGTAATAGATGAAAATAATTTTTCAAGTCTAGCAAGAGATTTAGACATCCAAATAGAAGAGTCTCAGAAATCTCTGAAGAAATAAAATGCAAAATGGTCATCTTCATGGCATATTATAGTCAAACCATTTAAAATGAAAGACATAAAGAGAATTCTAAAAACAGCAAGAAAAATGTGTCTAATTTCCCATAAAGATACCCTCATCAGACTAAGAGTGGATTCCAAAGCAGAAACCTTACATGCCAGGAGAGAATGGGATGATATATTAAAAGTGTTGAAAGAAAAAATCTTCCAGCCAGTGTGCTATACCCAACAAAATTATCCTTCATAAACGAAAATTTTTCCCAGACAAGCAAAAGCTGACAGAATTAATCACCTAGACCAGACCTATAAGAGATTCTCAAAGGAGTCCTAAACATAAAGTAAAAGGATAAAATTTACTATCATAAAACATGAAACTACAACACTCACTGGTAAAGCAAACACACAATTAAGAAAAAGGGCTCAGATGGTACTACTATATAAAACCACCAAATCACAATGACAAACAATAAGGAAAAAAAGAGACAATGATATAGAACAGTATCACAGGAAAGAAAACCCACAAATCAATAATAATCTTGAATGTTAATGAATTAAATTATTCACTTAAAACATACAGATTGGCTGAATAGATTAAAAAACATGATCCAACTATATGCTGCCACAAGAAATGCACTTTACCTATAAAGACACATATAGTCTAAAAATAAAGAGATGGCAGAAGTTATCCCACACATATTGAAACCAGAAGTGAACAGGAGTAGCTATACTTACATCAGATAAAACAGATTTTAGGTCAAAAACAGTCAAAAAGACAAATAAGGTCATTATATAACTATAACACGATCAATCCAGCAAGGGGATATAACTATTCTAAGTATACATGCACCCAACACTGGAGTACCCAGATTCATAAAGCAAATTGCACCATATCTAAAAAGAGTAATAAACTGCAATACGACAATAGTTGGGGATTTCAACATCCCACTCTCAACATTAGACAGAACATCTAGATGGAAAATCAACAAAGGAACACTGAATTTAAACTAAACTTTAGATGAAATGGACCTAATAAACATTTAAAAAACATTTTGTCAACAAATGCAAAGTACACATTTTTCTCATCAGCACACAGAACATCCTCAAGGATAGAGCATATGTTAGACATAAAACAAGTCCCAGCAAATTAACAAAAATTAAAATTACATCAACTATCTTCTCAGACCACAATGGAATAAAACTAGAAATCAATACCAACGGTAACTTCATAAATCATACAAATACATGGAACAAAAACATGCTCCTGAATGACCACCGGATCAGTGAAGAAATGAAGATGGAAATCAAAAATATTTTTGGAAAAATTGAAAATGGAAACACAATATACCAAAACCTGTGGCATACAGCAAAAGCAGTGCTAAGAGGAAACTTTATAGCAATAAACACCTTCATTAAGAAGTAGGAAATTTTCAAAGAAACAATCCAATGATACTCATCAAAGGAGTATAAAAGCAAGAGAAAAAATAGCAAAAGATAAGTAATAAGGATAAAACAGAGCTAAATGAAACAGAATTTTTTTTTAAATCCAGCAATCCAACTACTGGGTATTTATCCGAAGGAAAAGAAATCAATATATGAAAGGGAAACATGCACTCCCATGCTTATTGCAGCATTATTAACAGTAGCAAAGATAAGGAACTAACTTGTGTCTATCAACAGACAAATGGATAAAGAAAATGTGGTACATATATATAGTAAAATATTATTCAACCACAAAAACTTATGAAATCATGTCGTTTGCAGTAGTATGAATGGAACCGGAGTTATTAAGTGAAATAACCGAGGCACAGAAAGACAAATATTGCATGTTCTCATTTATATGTGGGAGTTCGAAAAGTTGACCACATTGAGGTAGAGTGTGAAATGAATGATACCAGAAATGGGAAGGGTGTATACTGGGTGTAGCGAAGATGAAGACAGGATGCTTAATGGGTACAAACATATAGATAGGTAGAAAGAATAAATTCGAATGTTTCATAGCAGAGTCAGGTGACTATAGTTACCAACAATGTATTGCTTTTTTTTTTTTTTTAAATAGCTAGAGGAGGGGACCTGAAATGTACTCAACACATAGAAATTATAAATACTCAGGTGATAGATCCCTGAGTACCCTGACTTGATCATTACACATTCTATGCACATAACAGAATTTCACATGAAGCCCATAAATATGTATATCAATATTTATATCAATAAAAACTAGAGACACTAAAAATATTTTTTAGTAGGTGAAAATACAACTTTTAAAAATGTGTGAAATATAAAGAAAACAGTGATGAGAAGAAAATGTATAGCATTATATGCATGTATTAGAAAAGAAGAAAGGTATAAAATAATTAATCTAAACTTATACATAGTGGGCCAGGTACAGTTGCTCGCACCTGTAATAGTAGCAATTTGGGAGGCTGAGGCAGTAAGATCACTTGAGCCCAGGAGTTTGAGACCAGCCTGGGTAACATAATAAGACACTATCTATGAAAGAAAAAAATTAGGCAGGTGTGGTGGCACATGCTTATAATCCCAGCTACTGTGGGGGACTGAGTTAGGAGGATCCTTTCAGCCCAGGAAGTGGAGGCTACAGTGAGGCCTGTTTGCACCACTACACTCTAGCCTGGATGACAGAGTGAGAGCTTGTCTCAAAATAAATAAATAAACAAAGTAAACTAGAGAGGAAAGAACAATTTAAGTCTACAGTAAACAGAAAAATAAATTAGAGAAGAAATCAATAAAATTGAAAACGTGAAGAACAAGGGATAATAGCAATGAAACAAAAAACCAGTTCTTTGAAATGATTAATAAAATTGAAAAGTCTCTAGCTAGGCTAACAAAAAAATAGAGAACATACATATTACTAATATTAAAAATGAAAAAGTGGTCATCAATGCTGATTCCAGGAACAGTAAAGGAAAATAAAGAAATAACTTTATGCCTCCATATTTGATAATTAATTTGTAATAGACCAATTCCTTGAAAGACAAACTACCAAAATTGACAAAAACAGAAATAAATTATACAAACAGGCCTATATCAGTTAAATAAATTAAAATTTAATTAGTAACTATTAATCTTCTAAAAATGAAACAGAAGGCTCAGATTATTTCATTGGTAAATTCTATCAAGCATTTTAGGAAGAAATGATAACAATTATTTACAATTTCCTCCACAAAATTAAAGAAGAGGGAATACTTACTAATTCATTTTTTGAAGCTAGCATTACCCTTATTGAAACACACACACACACAAAATACTACAAGAAATGAAAACCACAGACCAATATCTCAAACGATAGATGCAAAATCCTTGACAATACATTAGCTAATTTAATCCAACACTGTACAAAAAGAATTATATACTACAGCAAAATGGTATTTATTCCAGGTATGAAAAGCAATTCAACACCAGAAATTCAGTTAATTTAATCCTCCACATCAATAGACTAAAGAACAAAAATCATATGATCATATCAATAGATGTAGCAAAAACATTCAACATAATCCAACTCTCATTAATAATTTTTTTAAATCTCAGCAAACAAAATACAGGGGAACTTCAACTTGATAAAGAACATTTGCAAAAAATCGGTAGTTATCATCTTCATTCTTAATGGTATAAAACAAGATAATTTCCTCCTAAGATTAGGAACAAGTCAGGAATGTCCCCTTTCATAACTCCCATTCGACAACATACAGAAAGCTTTAGTTAATGCGGTAAAACAAAACAAGAAAATAAAATGTATACAGCTTGGGAATGAAGAAATAAATCTTTGTTCATAAATGACATGATTGTCTATGTAGTAAATACCAAAGAATCAATAAAAATTCTCTTGGTACTAATAAGGGATCATAGCAAGGTCACATGATACAAGGGTAATATGTATAAGTTAATTGCTTTCATATAGAGCAGCAATGAATGATAACTTGAAATTAAGAACATTTGAAATTAAGAACATTAACAATAGTAGCCCAAAATGAAATCAATACATAGGAATAAATTTAACAAAATATGCAGAGGTTCTATATATAGAAAACTTCAAAGCTCTAATGAAAGAAATTAAAGATTTAGGTAAATGGATTGTGAATAGTGGGATCCAGGTTTGTTAGTCTTGTAGTGGCAATTCTGGAGTACGGCAAGGAGAAAATGCTCAAATTATCTAAACGGTAATATATTAGAGTTGGAGATATTCTAAAAACTCATGTTTAAGTCAATATACCTACAGGGGGTACATACTATGGAAATATTTACACATATATGTATATACACATGGATTAGTTGTTCTGTAAGTTAGGAAAGTGATATGGTTTGAATCTCTGTCCCCATCCAAATCTCATGTTGAATTCTACTCCCCAGTGTTGAAGGTAGGGCCTAGTGGGAGGTGATTGAATTATAAGGGTGGAGTTCTCATGAATGGTTTAACACCGTCCCCCTTAGTACAATATAGTGAGTGAGTTCTCACAAGATCTGGCTGTTTAAAAGTGTGTAGCACCTCCTCTCTTGTTCTCTCTTCCTCCTGCTCCAGCCATGTAAGATGTGCCTGCTTCCCCTTCACATTCTGCTTTCATTGAAAGTTTCCTGAGGCCTCCACAGTAACCATTATGCTTCCTTTACAGCCTGTGGAACTGTGAGTGAATTAAACATCTTTTCTTTATAAATTACCCAGTCTCAGGTAATTCGTTATAGCAGTGCGAGTATGGACGAATAGAGAACGCATAGAAGAAGTGTTACCTGAGTAGCAAAAAGCATACCTAGCACCCAATTCTTGATTTCCAATACTATTCTCCAATAGAAGGATCCTGAGTTCTTTAGAGAAATAATTCATTCTAGAACTGAAGCAGGAATGATACAAGATACTCTTGGAGCATCTTATAATGCCAGGAAGAAAGGCAGTGCTTAAAAAAAAGGAAAATAAATGAATAAATAAAAACAGCAACAACAACAGCAGCAGAAAAGCCCACTATCTCTCCATTTATGGGTGCATGTCAAAGGGACATAGGAGCCCACTGAAAAATTTCCCAATTCAAAGGAATTTGAGCAACAAAATAAAGCAGTATTAAACTATAACCCAGGGTATAAAATAAACACTCATGAGTTTATATAGATATCAATAAATTGTGGAATGAATGAACAAATGGTAGTAATATGGTTTTGCTCTGTGTCCCCACCCAAATCTCATCTCAAATTGTAATCCCAATGTGTTGAGGGAGGGATCTGGTGGGAGGTGATTGGATCATGGGGTAGGCTTCCCCCATGTTTTTCTCATGATTGAGATCTGATGGTTTTAAAAATGGCAGTTTCCCCTGTCCACTCTCTCTCCTGCTACCATGTAAGACGTGCCTTGCTTCCCGCTCTCCCTCCACTATGATTGTAATTTTCCTGAGGCCTTCCCAGCCATGCAGAACTGTGAATCAATTAAACCTTCTTTCTTTATAAATTACTCAGTCTCAGGTAGTGTCTTTATAGCAGTGTGAAAACAGACTAATACAGGTAGTGAACAGACAAATCTCCCTTGCAGAAGAAATCTTAATAATGTAGCCACTCTGCCCACAAGGAGTAAATCTTCACTGATGAAGAGTGAGCTGCTGATAGAGACTTTTTTTCAAGAATTTCAACTTAGAATTGAGGCAATGGAAAGAATAACCTTACTGTGGAGAAACTGGACAAACACAATCTCAGCCAGATGATCAAAGTCAATATTAACTATTGGTAAGTTATGTTAATATGATGTACCCTTGATGTGATGTGATAACAATGGCAATTCTGTGATTTTACTCCCCAAAATCCATACACCAGTCTGATAATGAAAGAAACATCAGACAAATTTCAATCAAGAAATATTCTACAAAATACCTACTCAAGACTCTCATGTTCATAAAAAACCAGGAAAGTCTGAGAAACTGACATAGCCAAGAGAAGGCTGAGGAGATATGAAAACTGGATATCTTGGATGATATCTCAGATCATAAATAGACATTAGATGTAAACTACAGAAATCTGAATAAATGATGGACTTTGATTAATAACAATTAATCAATATTGGTTCATTAATTGTGACAAGTTTACCATAGAAAAATCTATAATATTATTAACATGAGAAACTTGCTGTGGGCTATATGGGAACTTTCTACATCGGGGGTCACCAACTCCCAGGCCTCAGACTGGTAGCGATCCTTTCAGGAACTGGGCTGCACAGCAGTACGTGAGCAATGGGTAAGCCTGCATTACTCCCTGAGCTCTGCCTACTGTCAGATCAGCGGTGGCATTAGATTCTCGTAGGAGTGTAAACCCTATTGAGAACTGCACATGCCAGGGATCTAGGTTGTGCACTCCTTGTAAGAATCTAAAGCCTGATGATCTGAGGGGGGACAATTTCACTCCCAAACTACCCCACCACCTCTGCCACCCCCATCCCCACCTCCACCCCCAGTCTGTGGAAAAACTATCTTCCCTGAAACCAGTCCCTGGTGCCAAAAAGTTTGGGGACCCTGCTCTACGTGATCTTCTCAATTTTTCTTAAATCTAAAATTGTTCTGAAAAATAGAGTGTAAGTAATAAAATATACTCACCAATTAACATGATACATATTACATTGTTTAAAAGTGTTTTGTTCTTCAAAGCAAATTAAACTATTTTATATAGTACACATGATTCTCCTGGCTCTGAAAGGGAAACAGGGATATCTAATGGCAGATCAGGATTAAACAACAAATACTGAAAATATTAAAAGGAAAATATCTGTCATACTGCAGCAGTTAGGGACAATGTGAGCACTAAGTTTGTTTTTATATAGTTTTACACAGTTGTCTCTGAGCCAAAGTGTTCTGGGAAAGTTTCAAAACTTTTCAAACTGTTTATAAACTGAACCAACAAAGTTGCCCAAGTCCATTCACAATTGATTCCTCAGTCCTTTTTCATAACTGAAGAACAGCTCTTTCACAAATGCAGTTTATCTTCCATAGCCTGTAAAAGGTGACGTCAGCTGCTTAGGTGGGCGTCTAAACAGTAGGATTCCAAGGTGTCTGGTAAATTCATCTTGGACATTCCAACATTAAATGAACAATATAGAGAAGAGAAAATTCAATCCAATTCAATTCAGTTCAAAAGCATTTGCAAAAAATGATTTTTTTCTGTTATTATTTAATCTCCACTTTATTTTGTGAAGATGATCTCGCATATTAACTCAAGATTCAAAAAATTCTTGATAAGAATATGTAACTGATACAAGAGGATGACTGGATTTCTTTTTGGTTTCTTCTATTTCAGATTTGGAAATAAGATATAAGTCTTGTTTCAATCATGATTAGAGTTTACCTGCCTAGTGCCTCTATCTGATTCCAATGGATCATAATTTTAAAGGAAAATTGTATGTGTGATTGTATTTTTTTCAGCAAATGTCTATTTGGATGGTAGGATGCCACATAGATAGTGGTGGTTATGATTCAGAAGAAGGGTGAAGAAGTTTCCTCACCAATTAGAAAAAGAATAAGGCAACTGCTCATCAAATTTTCTCTGTGGTACATTATTCATCAGGGAAGTGGAGAAATCCCACAGCCAAACCTTGATGAGTTACAAAATGATGACCTACTTTCTGCCTTATCTAAGGCCACTGTTTGCTTCTATTCCTTCAAGAAAGCTGTTGATATTGCAGTTATTTTAAAAAACACACGTTAAATGTACATATAACTAAACTCCATATACTGAATTATCTAGAGTAGATACCATGGTATATATAAATGCTAGTATATATTTATATTCTGTAATGTATATTGTATATTGTTTTATAATATAAATATAACAATATATATAATTTATTGCAATATCTACAATTTAATTCTGTAGGATTTCTACATCTACTATGCACTTAATAAACTTTTATTTTATTCAAAATGTATCACATTTTACATTTTGAAATTAATATTTGTTCTAACTGTGTAATTCACATTTATAATGTTGAATAGCATATAGAATATAAAACCAGTGATGTAAAAATGACTAAAACTCACCAAGATCCATGCAAAAATGAAAAGAAAGTAAAATAATTTTAAATTATGAGCATATATTTTTCCATGAGGGATTAAGGGAACTGTTCAGAATAATACTGCCCCTGTGGAATTATTGCTTCAATAGTGTGTGGCCTTGGACAGATTACAAAACTGCTACTAACTCTATTCTTCCTCAGTAAATTAGAAGTACACACTCTAAAATATTTAAAAATTTTAAATTTAAATTTAAAAAGCTTCTAGTAAAAAATTCCATCAAAGGGTGGAAAAGTCTAGGACATAATTATATTTATTTTTATTATATCCAATTACTATCAATGGAAGAGTATGCCACTTTTTGTAGAAACCTAGTATTTTAAAGGCCTAACTTCCACAATATGAAAGCTTGCTATACGATAAAATTGTACTTATCAGGAAAATGTTATTTTCTAACTTCTCTCATTTTCTGTTAAAGACTTTTTTCCCCCATATAGGTTGAATGACTAGTGACGTTTGTGTTTTGGATCTTATTCTTGTTATTTCTCTGATGCTTCAACCAACTATTTGCTTTGTAATGCCTCTAATTTCCTGTATTACTCTAATAGGGATCTATTTCAACTTATACAAATTTTTAAATAACTTCAAATTTGGAAAGCTCTGTTATCAATCATATTGGCAATGTATAAGTTAAAATATCAACAGAAATAATGTTCAAGCACAAGTCAGTAACGAAACTTTTCTCCATATACGTACATTTTGCATTGCAAGATGCCATGGGGTTTGGAGTCAGAGCAGAATGACTCTGAAAATGGAATTGAAGTGAGTGCTTGTATACTCCTATGTATTATAAATTATTTTCCTCTTAAAATCAGACTCAATTGCAATCAAACATGATTCCAAAAATGTGATAAACTCAAGATAGTCAACAAAATCAAAGATTTTCACAGGCCAAAAGTATTTTTGTTTTGTTTTGTTATTCAATTATTATATTTTAAATTTCATTTTGGTTTTAACTTTTTATTCAACTAGTTTTAAACTTGAAACAATTTTAAATGAGGTAGAAGAATAATGCAAAGAATTCTCATATACCCTAATCAAGAGGCCTCATTAAAATTTTATCAACTGCCCAGTTCTACATTTTATAACTAAAGGATCCAATTTTCCAATTTTTATCTATTTTTAGTTTTTATTTATTTATTTATTTATTTTTGAACCCGGGCCTCGCTCTGTCACCCAGGCTGAGTGTAGTAGTGTAATCATGGTTTACTGTCACCTTGACTTCCCAGGCTCTGGTGATCCTCCTATTTCAGCCTCCTGAGTAGGTGGAACCACTGGTGCTTGATACCACGCCCTGCTAATTTTTTTATTTTTTTGTAGACACAGGGTTTTGTCATGTTGCTCAGTGCCTGGCTATTCTTTGCCTGGCTCATCCACATTTATTTATTTATTTGTCCTAGATTTGACCTGTGACAAGTTTGTGACACTCATCTCCAAGCATGGGAAGCCTAACCCCAAATACTGGCCATCTTTCCTGTATGTAGTGATGTGCTGGTCAGTGTTAATTTTAACAAAGGAAAAAATATAGTCTTGCATTAACATAATATTTAGTGGTAAAAGATTCCTAAGTCTTTATTAAAAATTTTCTGAATAAACCCATAAAAATTGAACAAGTTTGCCAGAAATTTTAATATACTTTATTGCTTTTCAGACCCAACTATTTTCAGTTATTATAGAATTTTATTTCCAATCTCTTTATGCAAAAAAAGGCTCACAACATCCCTGATTTTTAATCTTTGTCAATTTTCTGTAATATAAATATTCCCACCATAGCTGATTTCAGATTATCAACTTGAATTCATTGAAAGCACAGTTGGGAAGAGATACACACAACTGACTTCTCACAAGTCAGTGGAACCAGCTCCAGGCCACAACTAATCCATAATCAATCTCTTGACCTTTGGCTATGTACTCACCTTCTCAGGGGCTTTGACCCCATGATGTGCTGTAGTTGGCTCATTCAGGCTCACAGGAGCTGATTTTTAAGAATTTATAAATGATACAAGACAGTTATTGAATTGTCAGTAGCTTGAAATCAGCTATGATTGGTGTATTGACATTACAGAAATTGGCAAATGCTACAAATCAGTGCTTTTTTTCAGATAATCTGTTTACCAGCACAGCATCATTCTGACCTCTGCTGAATTCCCTTCCTCACTTGGAATTGCCTTCTTATTATTATTTTTCACTTAATTATTCAGGAAGGAATGAAGAGAGAGAGGGACAGAGGGAGGAAGTGAAGAAGGAAGTACAGCCATATCTATTTTTAAAAGGTTTTTATGGGAGCAGTCAAACTAAGTATGTGAAGTTTTATTTCTCATATTGTATCTAGTAGATAAATCGTCCCTCCCTTAGGCAGGTTGCTCTTAAATTACGTCATCTGAAGTATCCCAAACTTTTATACATGTCATATTTTCTTAAGTTCTTGCATAAATAGAGATTCTTTTCTATTTTAACAGTATATTTGGTCATTTCAATTTTAAGGTAAGCCAAGATTGCCATATATTTTTGTGCAAAGGATTTTGAAATTTATGTAGACGGATCTATAAATATTTTCCTTTTTTGAAAAGCTTATTGTGTATAATTCATAGCTTCACATACAAGATACAGTAACTTTTTTGGATTTTGTTTTCATAATACTTTGACCTTCTTCATGTGTGCATGTGTAGGTGTGCCTTTGTGTATGAGCTGACTTGTTTTCCAGGAACGTTAATAGAATAAAAATAACGCTAATAATAATAGCTGCTGTGTATTAAGTATGTCAAACTTGTCAATAAACAATTTTCTTAACAAGCCCTAGTACAGATACTTACAGCACGCAAATTTACTTAACTTGTACAATGTCAAATAAATAATAATTTTGACATTTATCATAAAAACCCAGGATTGTAAAGCAGCTATTTATAACCTCTACCTTCTATGCTAGTCTATTCTGTCTTTTCTAAATTAATTTTAGATATCATCTGTACAATTTTCTAAAGTCTTGCAAATGCAAGAGTTTATTTAGTAGATTTATTTTCTATTGTATTGATCTACTCCTGAACCACCGAAATATTATTTTAATTTTTAAAGCAATTTCACAGTTTTATACTTTTAGTGGAGTTGGTACCCACTCATTAATCTCATTTTACAGAAAAATTGGATTTTCTTATTTATTTACTCATTTAGACGTAATTCAAACTTACCTTAGTATTTAAGAAATTGTATTGTAAATTTTAACTGTTTTTGCATTTTGCTTCTAGTTACTTTTCTAACATTGTTTTTATTTATATATATGTATCCTACTGCATGCATAATTTTGTTACTTTTTTCCTTAGATTTAAGCATACCCTGAACCATTTCTCATTGAAATGTCAATTTTAATTACCAAAAAGTAATTTCTAACACCTTGTAATAATATTTGCATAATTAACCATAATTATTTCTCTAATTATTAGAAGATAGTTTCTTTTTTGGCTATAAGTGATGCTATATTAAAAAGTTTTTATAGTAAGTTTCTGTTCTTCAAATTATATCTTAGATTAGATTAGATTTTTCTGATTTGAGCTTTTGGATTTTGATGTTTTTAACGTATAGATACATTATTTTTTAAAACATAAATTATTTTATAGTTCTACTAGCAATATTAGCAATGTGAAAGAGAATAAGATTATTGTACCATACATATAGTGGCATAATATTATTTTGAGCTACATTCTGATTGAATATTATATTTCAAATCCCAGGGAACCATTCATTTTTAAAGAGAAATAAGCAATAAGCCATTATTAAGGATAAAATGAACTTATAAAAATTCACAATTACCCAAGAAAAATTGGAAAAAGAAAAGGGAAAACAAAGAACAGAGGGAACAAACAAAAAACAGCAAGCAACATGGTGGAGTCTAATTCAAACATATAAATAGTCACAGTAAATGAAATTAACAGATTAATTTTAATTAATAAAATCATTGAGAAAATGTATCACTAATTTCCTTCCAAATAACTTTTTTTGCCAAAGGTTTAACTCTAATATATCCTTATGAAAAATAGTCTACATGAAGGAAGCATTATATAAAAATTCAATTGAGATTTCTAGATGCTTACATAAAAAGTAACTATTCTTTTGTTGCTGGATTCATTTGATTTTGGAGTTGTCTGGTGTTTGAGTTTTAACCACCACAAATTTTTAATCTAATTTATGTAAAGCCACCTCGTTTTATATGATTTCTACTAAATTTGTAAATCAGCTAAAGTCCTCTTGAAATGTAATCTGTAATTACTCAGATTCAGTAGTTTAGTAAAACTATATGATTTGATCATTCAAATGTACACTGCCCCCCTTTCTTACTACTGAGACAGTAAATTGATGGCCTAATGAATTCTGCATGCCATATTTTGCTTTTGTTTAAAATTTTAAATATACCTTTGTCTATAGGCTATATTTGGTTTTGAGTTAAAAATATGAGGTTTTCAAATAAAATTATATTTAAATGAAAGAGTCATTCAATTCTTGAAGAATATTGAGAAAATATTCTATGCTGACCCCTATTGAAAAACCTGAATTATCTGAACTATTGGCTTAAACATAAAAAGTTTTTATTTTATTTATTTATTTATTTATTTATTTATTTATTTATTTATTTATTATTTTTGAGACAAAGTCTCGCTCTGTTGCCCAGGCTAGAGTGCAGTGGCATGATCTCGGCTCACTGCAACCTCCACCTCCTGGGTTCAAGCCCCAGCCTCAGCCTCCCAAGTAGCTGGGAGTACAGGTATGTGCCACTGTGCCCAGCTAATTTTTGTATTTTTAGTGAGACGGGGTTTCACCATGTTGGCCAGGCTGGTCTTGAACTCTTGACATCAGGTGATCCTCCCGCCTTGGCCTCCCAAAGTGCTGGGATTACAAGCATGAGCCACCATGCCCAGGAGACATAAAATAAAATAGAAAAAACTGAATTAAATGATAATGAAGAGCTGATTAAAGATAAAAGGTGTAAGTGCACAACAAATCATCATTTTACTTTTAATAAATTTAGTCATTACCAGCATCATAGTTACCATCATAGGTATAAATCTATCAAACAATGTAACTTTATCAAAAAATAATTGATCTGATCTCATACCGCTAATCCAATTTGTTCATTAGAAGGGCTGTTTTGAGCAGATGTGAAAGAACTAAAAGTTGTAGATTCAGAAAGTTGAAAGTAATTTTTCATGATTTTTGAACTTTTAAAAAGCAGTTGGGTAGAGTTCAACCAACACTCCAGTATATAAATTCTCCAGTTCTTTAGCTAAGAGAAAACCAGTAATTTAAAGATGTCACCAGGAGAAGAAAGAAAAGAAACTATTTCTGACTCAACTATGGCATAGGTGCTGCTACGTAATTTGAAATAACATTAAGACATTCCTAATTGCTCTTTCTTCTTTAACAAAAAACAGATTACAATTGACTGCTTGCAGAAAGTGCTTCCACTTCCTCAACATAAAAACCATGTCTCAAAGCAACTTTGGGGAAAATGCAATGCTTTCCAATAGAACAAGTAACTCAGTCCTTAGAACAGCAATAGTCCTTATTTTATCATGGGTATTTTATTCATTAATAGACTACAAGTCAGTTGTGTATATGAGTGAATATTAATTCAATAATTTTCCTCTGAATACCTACAAATGTAAATAAATAAATAAAAGAATGATACTATTCTTTACTCAGATAATCCATATATTTTGAATATTCCAAAAAAAGTAATCACTTTAAAAAATTTTGTATAAATTTAAGGAGTCCAAGTATAGTTGTGTTACATGGATATATTGGACACTGGTGAAATCTAGCCTCTTATTGTAACCATCACCTAAATAATACACATACTGATTAAGTAATTACTAGTCCTTCACCCAACCCCATTCTTCTGAGTCTTCAATGTCTATTAATCCGCACTGTATATCCATGTGCACACATTGTTTAGCATCCACTTATAAGTGAGAACCTGCAGTACTGGACTTTCTGTTTCTGAGTTGTTCTATTTAAGATAATAGCCTCCAGCTCTGTCCAGATTGCTGCGTGGACTCACAGATAAGCAGGAGGAAGGGATGATTCATGTTCTGGGCAGGACAGAGTGGGACAGCATGAAACTTCATCGCACTACTCAGAAGGATGCCTAATTTAAAACTTATGAATTGTTCGTTTGTGGAATTTTTCATGTAACAATTTTCGGATCACAGTTGATTGCAGGTAACTGAAACCACAGAAAAAGAAACCACAGATAAGAAGGGACTGCTACATGTAGATTTTTTAATTGATTAACTTCAGTCTAACTATTTCCAATAAAATTGACAAGTACTGCATTTATGAGTTTGGTACAAAATGTTTGTAGATAGAACACATATTACAATGCACAAATTAATACAAATGCTTCCCCAAGAAACCAGAAACAAAGACTGTGGGTGTTTTTGACATTATCCTTTGATTTGTGGTCTAATGTTTAGTAGTAAGTGCTCTGAAGTCCAACTGCTTGTGTTTGATACTACCCTAGGCATAAGTGTGTGATTTTAGGAAATTACTGAATCATTCATAGCTTCAGTTTTCCTAAGCAGAAAATAAATGACTGTCTTTTTATATTAATAATTAAATTTAAAAATGCATATAAAGTGCTTGTAAGAGTATGTGGTAAGTGGTCAATACATGCCATTGATTATTATTATTTTTTAAAAAAACCTCACATTGCGTACAGGCAGAGGGCAGCACAGATTCTCAAGTTGCTAGCAGCTCCAGAGGCATCTGTGATGTGATGCACATACTGCTGCACTTGGAGGCTGGAGAATATTTTGGGGAGTTTGGTTTTGTTCATATTATGTCATCTTCACTACCTTTTGCCTCAGTTCACTACTCCCTAATATGTGGAAAATTTTACGCACACGGAATACTATAATAAGGATTCAATGGTTTCATTCAAGGAAGAATTTAATATCTGGTACAATAGGCATTCAATATGTAGAAGGATGAAAGAGTGGGGAGATATGGTATGGTCTTGATATTTATCTCATAAAAATATTTGTGAATAGCTCAGAAGGCAATGGTTATGTGCATTCAGGGGTTCTCATTTGTTTCTCCTACAACCATGAATCCCTTCTGCAGTATCTTCTGACCTATTTCTGTTATTCACACTAGACTTCGTCAAGCTCAACATTGCTAGTGCCAGTGCCAGTAAAATAGTCATGAATAAATTTTCATTACTTTATCAGAAGTTACTGTAAACATAGTTATTAAAGTGCACAATTTTTCTAAAAATATGTTCCAACCCTTAAGCTATTAATATAAGCTGGCTCATAAATTTGTTGAAATCTGTGGACATCATCAAGATGAACGTACTGTTTCTGACTTCCACCAAATTCCCTGTTGCAGAGTGACTACAAATAAGAGGTAATATATTCTGTGGCAGAAGTGGGAATCTTATAATCCTCAGTAGCTTTAGGCTAGGAACTAAAAACATTTTACTTATATATGAAATATTAATTTATCAATTAATATTAATTAACCTTCTACTTATGTGTGAAATATTAACCATCATACTTTTATTTTTCTAAATTGTCACCTTATAGGCATTCAGCCTCATTTGCATTGTCTGGAGAAGAATCAGCATTGCTAGTGCAAGCATATTCTTTAATAAAAATGAAAAAAAGAATATTTTGTGTTTGACAGATATGCTCTTTAGGATCAAAAGGAAGACCCTGAAGAAAAGCTGAGGATAGTGGCTAAACCCAAAACAAGAGATTAAAGGAGAATAGAGGCAGAAAAGTCACCCATACCCACTCCTTGGGGAGAAGAGATGAAACCCTCCTTGATGAGAAGAGAAGCTATGACCTTAGAAGTATTATAGGCCATAAAATCAAAGAACTGGCCATTAGAGGTTCCCAGAGAGAGGACTGGAGTCCGCTTTAGGAACTGTTGAGCATCTTCTCCACCCAACCAGGACAAGAAAGTCTAGTGGAAGCCCACCAAGATTTGCAGTTCATCTCTTACCCATCCAATGTTGAAGAATCTCAGAGCCCCGTTACTCTTTCTTGTAGTTTGCCAACTGAAGCCACTCCTGTACACTTAAATTACCCAACAAAAGGAGAACTTGCTTTTCCTCCAATATTCTGCTTATCTCCATTCAAGTACCTCACCTGAACTACCCACATCTTTTTAGTGACTATGCTTACTCTGGTTCAGGATGAAAGATGGGAGAATGAGATGAACTGTCCCTTTAGTAGTCTAAATGAGGATGAAGGGAAGACCAGCACTGTCCCTTGGCTAGAACAGTGGCAAAACCCATTCATATTTCAAATGTGTCTGTAAGATTTTCTCATTCATTACTCAGGCCTGACCTCAAAAACTATGTCTATAGTAAAGTAAAAAATTGCCCATGCACTGCTCTTTCCTAGTCTTGTGAGACAAAATTATATGTGCTTATGTGAAAGATATTAGATAAAGACAGAGGTAGAAAGATAAAGAAAATATGTATATTTTAAAATAAATGTTCATAATTATGGTATATTTAAGCAAATTGCTAATTAATACACAGTAGATGTGACCTCAGTTAAATCTCTTAACTAAAATGAGACTGCTTCCTTATTTTATAATTGTTGAGGTTGTGAGGTTTGCGGGACAAGACGTAATAAGCTGCAAGATCCTTTACTGTTTAAAATTCTCCATCTATGATTCAGAAGGACAGCTTTTATGGAATCTTATGAAATTTTAAATAAGATTTTCATCATTTCAATGTGAGAAACCAAAATTTACATAACTGCTTTTTTTTAAAAAAATCTTACAAAGTATAAAACTTGAGTAGCAGTTTGAAAATACATAAAACAATAAAAGCCCTTTTGTCTTTTAATAACTTTATATAAAAACATTGCTTGTAGGAACAACACATTGCAATATTGGTGATTATAGCTGCTTTAACTGAAGGGTATGAAGCATGTCCTGTGCAATAGTTCTTGTTTTAGTAAAAAAAAAATTAAAGTGGAATATGTAGTCTGCCCATATGTCCTGAGCTGTTCATTTCCTGTTACTTTGCTGGAGGCAGAAGCCAAAGACTCAGTTTTCCTGCCTTTGTCATACATCTGCTGGTTATTGCTATTTAAGCTGACTTGGTTCTTGATGACCACAAGGTGACTTACGATAGCTGTTTTTCCAAAACGCAATAGCAGTACCATGTGTTTTTAAATGCATTCAATGTTGTTTGGAGACTTTTCAAATAACTTGGGAGCAATCAAATGTAGACTGCACACATGTTGCTGTAAGTTAATGTAAATTTCTTTTTGAGAAAAAGGACATAGTTGGCCACAATCTATAAATTTCTTTGATTTAATATTTTTATTAAAGTTATATTTCCTCACTGCATTTGGTTTTGGTTGCAATTTATTTCACTCTATATACTCTCCAGTGCATGGCACTTAAATATTTATAGCAATAATGCAACATACAAAGCAATCAACAGAGAACCTTCGATAGACAATGCACAATATTACCTGGATGACTTATTTCCACATGCATTTGCTAAGTGGAATACCTACTTACAAAGGTATAATGATTAGAGAACAATGTTATATTCAGAATAAAATTAACTTATATCCCACTCACTTTTCAGTTATATCCCAGTACGTAAACTTTGATTTGTTAAAAGGAAACAATATTTGGAGTTTTTTTCAGCACGGTAAGTTCATTCAGAATATAGTTAAGAAGGTCACTCTTTGGCCGAGGCGGGCGGATCACGAGGTCAGGAGATCGAGACCATCCTGGCTAACACGGTGAAACCCCATCTCTACTAAAAATACAAAAAAATTAGCCGGGCGCGGTGGCGGGCGCCTATAGTCCCAGCTACTCGGGAGGCTGAGGCAGGAGAATGGCGTGAACCCGGGAGGCGGAGGTTGCGGTGAGCAGAGATAGCGCCACTGCACTCCAGCCTGGGTGAGAGCAAGACTCCGTCTCAAAAAAAAAAAAAAAAGGTCACTCTTTACTTATGCTCAAAATATTAAGTGCACTTTATTTTGTGTACATGTGTATTTTGTCCCTATTATATGATCATTTTGCCATTAATTATAAACTGTGCATCGATATCTGTCCTTAGGGCTGTGGTTTCTTTTCAGGATACATTATCCCCTCAAGCCACTTGAAGAAATAAGGGATTTATCCAAGGGTAAAAGAAACTGACTTTAGATCGAGTATCCATAAATGACTACCAAGCCATCAAAGAAGCTACTACCTTTTCTGTAATTGAGCACTGGACAGTGAATTGGGAAGCTATCTTTTTAGCTGCCAGCCCCCAAAGCACACAGCTTCTGCCACAATCAGAAATCTTATAAAAGCAAAAAATCACCATGACCAGCTGCAGCAGCAGCTATTGTCACCAGCTGCAGACCATGCCACACCTTTTTGTCACCAGCTTCAGCTCTACCTCTTGTCACATACAAAGCTAGTGACTTTATACTGGTCTTCTGCTAATATTGCCAGAAAAAAAAATCAAGTATCTCTAGGACAGTATTCACTAGTCAAAATTTTACCTGCAGCAAAAGTGTGGCCTCTGCCTCACTTCTGCTTGCCAAAATTGAGCAAGTTCATCTGGGTTAGCCAAATATGCATCATATCCAGAATTTAAAGAATGACTGAGAAATATGATTTTAACTTTGTAGGCTTTGCTGGAGAGAACATCTTGGAAGGTGTTTTGAAGGGAAATAGAAAGCCAATCCCCTGTATTTAGTATGTAGTCTTACATGTACATAAAACACCATGACTCAATTTTCTCCATTTAATCTATAAGAAAACTGAAACAAAAGGAGTTCAAATAATTTGCATACAACCAAACCTTTATAATTTGCACTACATTCTCAAATTTTATCTCCATCTGACTTTCACATTTTAAAATAACTTTGTTTCTTCTCTATTTAAGATATTTAAACAGATAACTTTTACAATAGACCTATTTAAATAAATAGATAACTTTCAATAAACTCCGCAGGTAATAACTGAGGCACTTGCTTATCTGGAATTACTAATCAGGTTATAATGATTAGGACAACTTTTCATCAGTCTTTTATGTTTTTATATTTTTATTTAGCCTCTTTAAAAGACAACAGTGTATATTTATTAAAATGGATTAGTAAATAAATTTGTTTCTTTTTTCATATTCTAAATATAGATGTTAAATATTTTATAGTTATATCTATGAAACAAAATTGGTTTTACTTTATTTTGGAACTCTATTTTTTCCTTGTAGAATAAGGGTAAAAAATGAGCAACATGTTCATAATGGTAGAAATTAAATAAAAGATCTGCGATCTTGAAAATATTAAAGTTTCATAAGAAGATAAGAAAGAACCATTATGGTATTTTAAAACATTGTAATTTCATCAATTATGCTCTCAGACAAATATTTTCTATACTTTCCTGTCTGGTGAAAGTTAACAAAGGAAAATATTTTGTTTGTTTTATATAACTTCATCTTTTATTCCTGATATTTGTTTATAATAAGGTAAAGGTGCTGAGAAAAAGAAGATTCACTAAGTTTGGCTACAGGTATCTTAATCCCCACCAGCCTTTAACGTCTCTCCTCAAATTCCTCAATAGTAAAAATAACCAAGATTTAGTATGATTATAGATCCTATTAACATTTAAATTTATCAATGCCTCTTCTTCCCTTTGTACTAGTCAGCAGCTTTTATCTAGACTAGTCCAATTCCTGTTTTAAAACTAATGGTATGATTGGTCATGGGCTTTTTTTTTTTTTTTTTTTTTTTTACTGGCATTTCAAAACTGAAAATGTAATCAGGGTTGTCTTATTTATTTTCACCTTATGGAAATTCAGCAGGCCAATTTTAAAAAAAAGAAAGGAGGCCGGGCGCGGTGGCTCACGCCTGTAATCCCAGCACTTCGGGAGGACGAGGCGGGCGGATCACGAGGTCAGGAGATCGAGGCCATCCTGGCTAACACGGTGAAACCCCGTCTCTACTAAAAATACAAAAAATTAGCCGGGCGTGGTGGTGGGCGCCTGTAATCCCAGCTACTCGGGAGGCTGAGGCAGGAGAATGGCATGAACCCATGAAAGTATAACAGAATAACATATAAACCTATAAGTACTTAGCAATCATTCCATTAATCAGTATGAGATATAATTTCATCATCTAATTGTTTGATATTAAGTACTTTCTCTAATTGGAGATAGTAACACACATCATAATACCCTGGCATGTCTTTAAAGTCTTTAAATGGCTCTTTTACAGGCTTTATAATCTTCACTATGAGAATAATTTTCTTAAATGTTACAGATCTTTTAGTCCAGTTTGCTTTGACCTTTTCTTCTTTCAGTCTCTGTAAAAAGAAATCTGTTTATTTTCCTGTAGGTACAATTTCAAGTACTAAGAAGTAAATCAATGTACAAAAATCACAGGCATTCTTATACACCAATAACAGACAAACAGAGAGCCAAATCATGAGTGAACTCCCATTCACAATTGCTTCAAAGAGAATAAAATAACTAGGAATCCAACTTACAAGGGATGTGAAGGACCTCTTCAAGGAGAACTACAAACCACTGCTCAAGGAAATAAAAGAGGATACAAAGAAATGGAAGAACATTCCATGCTCATGGGTAGGAAGAATCAATATCGTGAAAATGGCCATACTGCCCAAGGTAATTTACAGATTCAATGCCATCCCCATCAAGCTACCAGTGACTTTCTTCACAGAATTGGAAAAAACTACTTTAAAGTTCATATGGAACCAAAAAAGAGCCCGCAACGCCAAGTCAATCCTAAGCCAAAAGAACAAAGCTGGAGGCATCACACTACCTGACTTCAAACTATACTACAAGGCTACAGTAACCAAAACAGCATGGTACTGGTACCAAAACAGAGATATAGATCAATGGAACAGAACAGAGCCCTCAGAAATAATGCCGCATATCTACAACTATCTGATCTTTGACAAACCTGAGAAAAACAAGCAATGGGGAAAGGATTCCCTATTTAATAAATGGTGCTGGGAAAACTGGCTAGCCATATGTAGAAAGCTGAAACTGGATCCCTTCCTTACACCTTATACAAAAATCAATTCAAGATGGATTAAAGACTTAAACGTTAGACCTAAAACCATAAAAACCCTAGAAGAAAACCTAGGCATTACCATTCAGGACATAGGCATGGGCAAGGACTTCATGTCCAAAACACCAAAAGCAATGGCAACAGAAGACAAAATTGACAAATGGGATCTAATTAAACTAAAGAGCTTTTGCACAGCAAAAGAAACTACCATAACAGTGAACAGGCAACCTACAAAATGGGAGAAAATTTTTGCAATCTACTCATCTGACAAAGGGCTAATATCCAGAATCTACAATGAACTCAAACAAATTTACAAGAAAAAAACAAACAACCCCATCAAAAAGTGGGCAAAGGACATGAACAGACACTTCTCAAAAGAAGACATTTATGCAGCCAAAAAACACATGAAAAAATGCTCATCATCACTGGCCATTAGAGAAATGCAAATCAAAACCACAATGAGATACCATCTCACACCAGTTAGAATGGCGATCATTAAAAAGTCAGGAAACAACAGGTGCTGGAGAGGATGTGGAGAAATAGGAACACTTTTACACTGTTGGTGGGACTGTAAGCTAGTTCAACCATTGTGGAAGTCAGTGTGGCGATTCCTCAGGGATCTAGAACTGGAAATACCATTTGACCCAGCCATCCCATTACTGGGTATATACCCAAAGGACTATAAGTCATGCTGCTATAAAGACACATGCACACGTATGTTTATTGCGGCATTATTCACAATAGCAAAGACTTGGAACCAACCCAAATGTCCAACAATGATAGACTGGATTAAGAAAATGTGGCACATATACACCATGGAATACTATGCAGCCATAAAAAAGGATGAGTTCATGTCCTTTGTAGGGACATGGATGAAATTGGAAATCATCATTCTCAGTAAACTATCACAAGAACAAAAAACCAAACACCGCATATTCTCACTCATAGGTGGGAATTGAACAATGAGAACACATGGACACAGGAAGGGGAATATCACACTCTGGGGACTGTTGTGGGGTGGGGGGAGGGGGGAGGGATAGCATCGGGAGATATACCTAATGCTAGACGACGAGTTAGTGGGTGCAGTGCACCAGCATGGCACATGTATACATATGTAACTAACCTGCACAATGTGCACATGTACCCTAAAACTTAAAGTATAATTTAAAAAAAACATTGACAAGGAAACTCTCAACCAGCAAGATTAAAATAATAATTTTTCATAGTAGACATCTGCCATTTGGGAAACAAATATTGGATAGGATCTCTGTGTTAGATCTTTGATATTTCTTGGTCGCTCATTTTTCATTCTACCCCATCTAAAGAGCAGGTGGATTTCCTTTGGTGTAATCCTCACCTCCATTTGTATGGGATGGTAAATTTTTCCACTATAGATGCCAAAGAACCAGATAGATCTTTTCTTTCACTTAGAACAGAGCCAGAAGTCAATCAGATAGCTAGTGTCAGCCAATTAAATGCTCTCTCAGGTCTTTGAATATTAAGCAATTCACATACTAACTAATGTTTAGATTTCTTTTCATAAGGTTGGAGCCCTAACAAGCTTGTTTCTACTATGACAAAATTTTGCTGGTTTTTGTTTGTTTGTTTGTTTTTAACTTTTATTTTAAGGTTGAGGGTAAATGTGAAGGTAAACTTGCGTCATGGGGATTTGTTGTACAGATTATTTCATCACCCAGGAATTAAGCCCAGTACCCAATAGTTATCTTTTTTGCTCCTCCCTCCTACCACCCTCCACCCTCAAGTATGCCCCAGTGTCTGTTGTTTCCTTCTACAGGTAACAAAGCCTCTAGCTTTGTTCTTTTTGCTTAGGATTGCCTGGGCTATTCAGGCTCTTTTTTGGTTCCATATGCATCTTAAAATAGTATTTTTTCTAGTTCTGTGAACAATGTCATTAGCAGTTTGATAGTAGTAGCACTAAATCTGTAAAATGCTTTGGGCAGTATGTCCATTTTAATGATTTTGATTCTTCCTATCCATGAGCATGGAATGTTTTTCGATTTGTTTGTTTCTTCCATGATTTCTTTGAGCAGTGTTTTGTAATTTTCATTGTAGACATCTTTCATCTCCCTGGTTAGCAATATTCCTAGGTATTTTATTTTTTTGTGTGTGGCAATTGTGAATGGGATTGCCTTTCTGATTTGGCTCTTGGCTTGGCTGTTGCTGGTGTATAGGAATGCTAGTGATTTTTGTACATTGATATTGTATCCTGAAACCTTGCTGAGGTTGTTTATCAGCTGATGGAGCTGAAGGGCCAAGACTATGTGGTTTTCTATTAATATATATAGAATCTTCTTTTCTGCAAACAAAGATATTTTGACTTCCTCTCTTCCTATTTGCCCTTTATTTCTTTCTCTTGCCTGTTTGCTCTGGCTAGGACTTGCAATACTATGTTGAATAGGAATGGTGAGAGAGGGCATCCTTGCCTTTTGTAGGGTTTCAACGGGAATGCTTCCAACTTTTGCCCATTTAATATAATATTGGCTGTGGGTTTGTATCACAGGATTTTTTGAATTTTCTATTGTTCTCTCCACTTAGTTTTTGTTCTTGCCTCTGGTTTTATGGTTATTGATTAATTTTTTTAGAATTCAAATAGAATTCAAATATCTTCCCTTTTTTTCCCAAAATGTTAGCCAAAGTCAGCTTAAAAATGCAACCAAATAACCTTAAATGAATCAGAAATGAGTGTAAAATAATGGGATATAGGCAACAGACTGAGAAAAATGTGCCATATTTGCAATTATCTGTTCTAGTGCAAGTGAAAGAATGTTTCATTGTTTCATTTATTTTCTAGAATGAAAATTAATAGGACAAAGCACAATAGTGAAAAATTGAATATTTGGAATCAAAGGACCACAAGATAAGGTAGCAACTTGTAGCAGGCAGTGGTGAATAACCTGAAGTTGAGAATGGATGTCCCTAAGGGCACAGATAAGAAGTCAATAAACATGCTGAAAAGGTCTCCTAAGCCTCATAGTATGAAGCTGAGATTGATGAAAACAAAAGGAAATCTGATTATCAAAACGTTTGTCATAGTATAATATTAGTTAATTTTAGGGCCTACAAAATTACTACCTTGACTGAGAAAGACTGAGATAATTGAAATGAGGATACACTTGAAAATTCAAGAGAGTATGAGTGACAGAATTCTTTAATCATTTAAAAGTACACACCAAAAAATCTCTGTAATAGAGTGAGAGAGGTGGAGAGTATTAGGAGAGATGACTGGAGGACAAATTGTGCACGCTTTGTGAGCATATATTTTTGACTTTGTGAATGAGATGGTTTTGAGCAGACAAATGACACTACTTGACTCACTCTTTAATAGGATTCCTTTTGATGTTCTGTTGCAATACATGGAAGGAGAGACAGATTGAAAGTAGGAAGACCAGTTAGGAGAACTCATGAAACATGCAACAGTGGTTTGAATTAATTTAATAGCAATAAAACTAGTGAAAAATGGTTATACCATAATACATTTTAGAAACAAAATCAGTTGCTTTTGAGTTGATACATATGAGTTTTGAGTAAATGAGGATGATCCCAAGGTTTTGGGCCTGGGAAACAACCTGAACAGAAGAGTCTGTAGCTAGAAATGAGGAATTCTGCTAGATGAGCAGCTTCTGCTGGTGAGTAAGTGGTACTTTGAGGTTCTGTGTTGGGCTTGTTAATTTTGTAGTACTCCAGACAATTACATGACCAAGACAAATAGGCAGAAGTTTCAAGATGGAGATATAAATACAGGAGTCATTAGTATATAGATCATATAATCCTAATAAAAAACACTTCAGGACTAAGTCTCCATAACTATCCATACACAGCAGTTAATTATGTAATGGTTAAGTTGATGTTCATCTATATGAATTTGAAATCCTCTACTGTGGTCAGAAACCAATTTATGTCTTTTGAGTAATAAGAAATCACCAGGTAGGGCATTCCCACACAGATCTGGGCACTTGAGGAAATCTGAAGAACCAGACTCCTGGCCTCACAGAAGTTACTCTTACCATGTGACTTTTGTCTCAATGGTTATAAGATGATAATTCCCATTTCAGCCTCATATTGAATTCCAGACAAGAGAAGAAGAAAGAAGTATGGGACCAAATTCAAGAAAGCAAAACTTTCTCAAAAATACCTACCAGACTTTGATAAATGTCATTCACTAAATATATGTATTATATGGCCATGTGTAACTATAAAAGATTTTTTTAAAATGTAATACTTTAGATGGAATTCACATATGGAAGAAAAGCGGGAGGCTCGTTGCTGTATGAACAACTAGAAATATTGCCAAAAAACATATTGAATTTTAAAGGGAGTGAGAGGAAGTCATAATCCCCTGGGAGTGGCAATCAGAATCATTTGGAATGGTTTTCCATACTATATACGCATTAACTTATTCATTATATTTGAGTTATTGTTCTAGATGGAACCTTTTCTTTTTGAAATAGTAGTCATTCCTAAGGCATATAGAAGCATCACATATATTAAAAGCATTAGACTAGATCTCAAAACTTTACAAACGCAAAAATATATACTTACTATATTAAATAGAGCAACAGATTGTGCTTTTTAGACACTTTCACTGTAATAGATGCCATGGTAACCAATCTCTACCTGTTGTTAAATATTACTTCTGTTCCATCTTTTATGTTCTTGATGAAAGCATATTTTTGCACTGTCATTATGTGCCCTGTGAGTATATATTAATATATCCCCATCTAGCTACAGAACTATTTCCCAACCTTGTATTAGAAAAGGCAGCACGCTGGTTCTTAGAAAAGAAAAAAAAATCAAAGCATCTATCTTCTAAATTACATAATCTCTTTGAATTGGCTTTCTTACAACATTCACAGCACATGCACCATACACACACAAGCTAGAGTTAACCTTTAGATTCTAAAGAGAACTATCATAACTGTAAAGGGAAATGCATCTTGTAGAAACTTGTATCTGTGAAACAAAAGAGAAAGTATTGTGTTTTTAAAGTAGATTTTCTTTCCACCAATGACTCATTAAATGACCTACTTCCCAAAGAGGATATGAAGTTTCATTGGTTAAGAAAAAAATGGAAATCTCCTTTCTAGTGCATAGAACTGTGATATTCCAAGTTGTTATATAGAAATGAAGTACAGAATGGGAGAAAATTTTTGCAATCTATCCATCTGACAAAGGGCTAATATCCAGAATCTACAAGGAACTTAAACAAATTTACAAGAAAAAAACAATCCCATCGAAAAGTGGGTGAAGGACATGAACAGACACTTCTCAAAAGAAGACATTTAGGCAGCCAACAAACATATGAAAAAAAAAACTCATCATCACTGGTCATTAGAGAAATGCAAATCAAAACCACAATGAGATGCCAACTCACGCCAGTTAGAATGGCAATCATTAAAAAGTCAGGAAACAACAGATGCTGGAGAGGATGTGGAGAAATAGGAATGCTTTTATACTGTTGGTGGGAGGGTAAATTAGTTCAACCATTGTGGAAGACAGTGTGGTGATTCCTCAAGTATCTAGAACCAGAAATACCATTTGACCCAGCAATTCCATTACTGGGTATATACCCAAAGGATTATAAATCATTCTACTATAAAGACACATGCACACATATGTTTACTGCAGCACTACTTACAATAGCAAAGACTTGTTCCCATTGATGGGAACAAATGCCCATCAATGATAGACTGGATAAAGAAAATGTGGCACATATACACCATGGAATACTATGAAGCCATAAAAAAGGATAAGTTCATGTCCTTTGCAGGGACATGGATGAAGCTGGAAACCATTATTCTCAGCAAACTAACACAGAAACAGAAAACCAAACACTATGTTTTCACTCATAAGTGGGAGATGAACAATGAGAACACATGGATACGGGGAGCAGAACATCACACACCAGGGCCTGTCAGGGGTTGGAGGCTAGGGGGAGGGATAGCATTAGGAGAAATACCTAATGTAGATGACGGGTTGATGGGTGCAGCAAACCACCACAGCACATGTATACCTATGTAACAAACCTGCACATTCTGTACATGTATCCCAGAAGTTAAAGCATAATAATAAAAAAAAAATGAAACGAAATGGCTTTGCATATTTGACAGATATGTGCCAGGCACTGGAAATATACAGTCTGACTACAGTTTTGAAAGAATACAATTTCTAATCTCATACTTTTTGAAATGAAAAGTGTTTACGCTGGATGAAATTTCTTCCTGATACAAAATAATCTATATTACTTTTAACACACTTAATTGTTGTGAGAAAATCCTTCCTTGTTTTTCTGTATTCTAATGACATTTATAGGAGAAGTTATGGTTAATAAAAATGGTAAACATTTTTGAGCACTTAGTCTTGTATTACATATACATAGGTTATACATGAGCATGTATTATTTCATTTCAACTTCTAAAATCCCCTATGAGATAGACATTGTTGTTGTCTCCGTTTTACAAATTTGGAAACTAAGGCTGAAAATCATGAAGATACTGATTCTTGATGACACAGTAATAGGTTCATCTTATATAAGAAACACTCCTCCTCATCAGAACCCTAGCTTTTAACCACTTCACTTCTGTTTTCACATCTATTTTTTGATGTATTTATTGTTATTGTTATATTGTGTTTCTTTGCAAACA
The DNA here is from genome assembly GCF_000001405.40 of Homo sapiens. Taxonomy (NCBI): domain Eukaryota; kingdom Metazoa; phylum Chordata; class Mammalia; order Primates; family Hominidae; genus Homo; species Homo sapiens. The sequence continues at coordinate 80,911,106 of NC_000013.11, read as the reverse complement.
AGCTTAATTTCTGCCACCACAGACCATTAGTTCATTGTGTCAGCCTACTACATGGCAAAAATGGAGCTAAGTGCAATGCCCAACAATGCTTAAGATAAAACCTGCCTGTGCACCTTCTGAGTGGGGGAAAAGGCAAGCATAAAGACAATCGTGACTGATACAAGTTCTTATGGGCTACATTTGTCCCGGTCTATCAGAGGGCACAAAATCCAGACTTAGATAGGTTCAGAATGGCTTAATGGAGGAATGATGTCTAAAGTAACACATGAGAAAAGAGTTGGCATTTTCCAGAACTCCTACTTATGCAGCATGCAGAGAGTTTCCCTCCACACATATAACCTGTCTTATAAATTATTTCATTTATTATTTCTTCATTTGTACCTCTTTGGTACATTTGTGACCTAATATAAGGCTTGATTTCCAGAAGTCAACATTAATTTCAACTCTCTCTCTTCCAAAATGTAATCTCAGTCTGCAAGAGTCCCTGTTATAAGGGAGTAATACAATGTTGTGAATACATACCCCTCTTGCCTGCGTCCCCTTTCCCTAGAATCTCTCCCTAACTTGTTTCTTCTTCTCTCTTAAACCTCTTAAACAGACTCAACATTCCATTTCCTATGTCCATGCAGACATGTTCAAAATGAAGTTCAAAATGATTTACCAAACCTATTTTTGAATGTCATGTGATTCAAGCCCCATATTGTGCAATATTACCAGAATAATAGATTAAAATATAAATATCTTAGTGCCGTGTCAATTCTCTGCACATATGTTAAAAGCTACTTTCGAAGATATATTCTATCACTTTATTTTTTTTCCTATAACCTTGGATGGAGCCATTGTTGTCTCCCATGGAAAATCCATTCAACATTTCTTTATGTTCCTGATGCACTAATAACGAATTTTATTTTCCTCATTCTAACACATTTAGTGAAATTATCCCATTATCCCTTAATGCATGTCAAAATCCCTCTGAAGCTTTCTACAAAAGTAAAGTTAAAGCTAAAAAGGATCTTAAAGTGCATTTAGACTAGATTATTTTTATTTTAGGCTAGTATATTTTATTTTGCAGATGAGGACAGTGTGATTTAAAAATTAAATAATTTATTCATAGTCCCAAAGCTTTTACATGGCAGACCTAGAGCTGAAAGTAACTTCTGGATTTTCTTATATAGTAAAATATTCATTACACCACCTGCCTACTTACTACTGGAACTTGTTCCCAACTTGTGAAATAAAGAGAAGGATTAAGGTTTCTCACATACAGTTCCTGGATTTCTATCTCACTGACAATATTTTTAATGCAATACTTTTGGCTCTATATTTAATTCTTATGGGAAGTTATCTGTGGATAACATCTGGTCAACTAAACACGAAATAAAAAACAAAAAAAGGAATAAATAATCTTGCAATTTACAATGACATTTTAAGACAACACTGGACATAAATAATTGTTTTCTTGCAGTTTTTTTCAGAATCTTGATTCCATTTAATAGGTTTAGAGAAAGTGAATGTGTGGTACACATTTTAGACTATGTTAATATTCATAAACTATTGCAATTACCTTTTGAGTACTTTTTCTTATTATAATAATGTGCCTAAATTTACTATAATTTACTTTACTTTCAAACTCACATGTGTTTAAAACATTTCCTCAGAATAATAAGAAAACTGAATTGAGAGGTATTATATATTGTTAGATAAGTCACTAACTTTTCTCAGTCTGAGTGTATTAGTTCTCACATTGCTATAAAGACATACCTGAGACTGGGTAATTTATAAAGAAAAATGGTTTAATCTGCTCACAGTTCTGCAGACTTTCCAGATTTCTGCTTCTGGAGAGGCCTCAGGAAACTTACAATCAGGGCAGAAGATGAAGCAGAAGCAGGTACATCTTCGCATGGCTAGCAGGAGAGAGTAAAGGGATAAGGAAGGTGCTACACACTTTCAAACAACCAGATCTCATGAGAATTCTATCATGAAAACAACAAAGGGGAAGTCCACCACCACGATTCAATCACCTCCCACCAGGCCCCTCCTTCAACACTGGGAATTACAACTGGACATGAGATTTGGGTGGGGACACAGAGTCAAGCCATGTCACTGAGTTACATCATTTATTTAAAATAATAATAATAATTCATAAATATGTGTGAGGATTAATCAACAATGTAAGTGCATGTTAATTTCTGAACATATATAGAAAATATCAGGACTTATTATTGAACAGCTGCTTTCCCCAAAATTCTGTACCCACACAAGGAACTACACAATTCTACACATTTTTTTTCTTTGCTCTAGAATTTAATGTTAACACCTGGGAAGCCTCCTTTCTCCATCTTCTGAAAAAGAATTCAGAAGTTCCATCACTTTAGTCCAACAGCACATTATCTAGTCCTTTATTTAGGAAATCCTTTAATTATTTCTGTGTGTATCTCTCTCTTTGGATTAAGAGCTTTGTAATGACTTATTTATATTGTATTTGTCTCTGTGTTTCAATGTAAAACTGCAAGAACTAGGTGCCTAAAGCAGACATTATAGGTGATCTAACAACATATTTATAACCTCTCACTTCTTGCAGATGCAAATTTGTATTTAGTGCCTTTTCTCCCATTTATATTCTGAAGTTAATATTTATTTCAATATTCATTTTACTTAATTATAGTCACAGTTCCATTCCACCCATTAAAGCAAGCAAAAACAGTAGTAGAACTAAGGAAAAGCACATTAAATTTCTTTTTTTTTCCTTCTAATCCAGAACAGCTCTTTACTTTCCACATTGGTACATTCTCTGGTCTTAAGTTCCAATAAAAATTCTGTAAGCTATGGAGAGACTTTTGAAGAGTGATCAATGCAAGTTGGTATAGCAATCCAAAAGACTGGAATAGAGTACATAAAAAGGAAGTTATCATATTTTTCATCAATAAGCTATTTAACCTTGGAATGTTAGTTCTAAATTTTATAACTTTAAATACTGTTAATATATCAGTCAAATTATCCTTAGTCATATGAATAGTTATAGCACATTCACATATTCACTGCTACTCCACTTTGTTCTTTACACATATTCTCATTTAATCTTCATAACTACCCTATGAGTCAGGTGCTAAATTATTCTCATTTTACTGATGAGAAACTATGGCTGAAATAAGTTGGAAAAACTGGCCAAATCCATATGGCTGTAAGTGATAAAACTGGATGGAGCCAATATTTAACTCAGGTCTCTGATTCCAAATTTCAAGCTCTCAATCACCGTTTTTTATTTTCTTAAATATCAGTATAAAAAAGTATGTTGATTAAATGTTCTGAGAAACTTGTAAAATATATGCAGTCTTTTAAAATAAGGTATTTTAACTTACATTTTCTAAAAATTTAGGCTTGGCCAGGTACAGTCTGTAGTGCGGCCAGCACTTTGGGAGGCCGAGGCAGGCAGATTGCTTGAGTCCAGTATTTTAAGATCAGCCTGGGCTACATGGTGAAACCCTGTCTCTACAAAAAAATACAAAAACTAGCCAGGTGTGGTGGTGTGCACCTGTAGTCCCAGCTACTCAGGAGTTTGAGGTGGGAGGATGGCTTGAGCATGGGAGGTTGAGGCTAGAGTGAGCCATGACTGCACCACTGCATTTCAGCCTGGGTGACAGACCATGGTCCTATCTCAAAAAATAATAAACACATAAATAAATAAACTTTAATCTCCCCTCAGATGGCCTTCTACACACCTACTTGTGTTGATGTTTCCTTCACTTTAACTAATTTAATACAAAGTATGAAAATGGAAAATCTACAGCAAAAAGTAATGAAGTCTTGGCTTAGTTATTTGTTCAAAACTTCTACTTTTAACTTCTCTAAATTTATGTTTTAAAATACTTTACTCAGCATCCCAAGATCATCATCTCTAGCTGTAGTTCATAGTAACATGGGGTTTAACAATTGAAAGAAGTTTATTGATCAGCTATTTCAACCTTCCTCTTTTTTGCCATGGAAGGAAGTGAAACCCTAGAGAGGTGATGAGCACACTGAGAAGTACAGGAGCTGTGACTGGGCCCCAACTTCCCTGCTCAAGGACAGTGTGGATCTGAGATGCTGTCACTCTGGCTTCCCCTGAGAGATGATGGGCAGCCTCACTGAGAGTACTGAGCACTGAACGCTAGCATGTGCTCAGTGTTTCAGAGCCCCATTCCACATTTTCACAAAGGAGCCACAGATTTGAAATGTTATATTCTGAAAAACGACAGTAAAAGTTGGGGACCAAAAGGGTAAGAAGTAACATTGATAATAACTAGGAGTGATACATTTTTAAAACAGTGTTTATTTGAAATAAGTTCTAGAGTTTTCGAAAACCTTTTGCTTTTCCTAACATGTAATGAAATCCTATACCAAACCAATGAATCAGAACACATATTTTTATACCATTTGTTTTTAACAAATGAGAAAACTAGGACTTTCTCCAGGTAATACAAGCAATAAGTTGCTTGAGCCCTAAAATGACTTTGTTTACTACCTGTTCACCTCATAAATCATCTCTACTTCATATTCACTTGCTCAAGACACAGAAATTTAGCGATCCTTCTTAGCTTGAGACCTTAAAAGAAGTGTTAGAATATTAAAGCCTCCAATTATTAAATATTTCCTGAGGTACTATGCAGGCATTCATAATAGCTGCCTACTGAGTCAATTTTGCTACTTACTATTGCCTTTCACAGATAAGATTATTTAATGTGGGTACATATTTCTTTCAAATATGCATTCCTAATGATGGCAAAAATAAAAAATATATAGTTATGGAAAAAATATCAAAGAAAAGAGTAATAAAAATTGAGTTTCTTATGACTTAGTAAACCAGAGAAATACCATATTTTATGCTAATTGACAAAATAGGGCTTTTAAAATTGTTGTTTTTCTTGGACATGTAGCAATGTGCTTCCTAATGAAAAGAGAATGATTAACTCCATCTTTAATTGTCCAACCATTCTGCAAATCTCTTCTATCTTAGCCTCTAGGAGAAATGGCTTTACATGAATGAACTCTACTCTGGCTTTAGAAGTTAAGCTGAATATTTTTGATATATAAGGGAAGTTGGAAATAGAAACAGTAATGCTTTTTTATTTACTTTACTGGATTTTTCAAGCTTTAGTTTGTGTCTCTATATCAAGTAACAAAGTAAGGCCAGAAAAATGAGAACTGCACAGTAGCATCAGAAAGGCAGCCCAATGTCAAACATACTTGAACCTTGATGCCAGCCATCTGGTGGACCATTCAAGGTTGTTTTGGGGAAGGGAGCTGTTAAGTATCCATCATTTCCTGGCTCTATGACTCTGGCAAAGTCAGCATCTCAGTTTCTTAGTTTCTATTCTCTTGGACAAAATCTTAGATGGTGACATAAGAGGGCTTTCACAGTGCCATTTTTTTGATGACAGACCTACTGCCTCTGAGAAGCTCTGTGGCACAGAGACTGGAACACAAATAACTTCATTTGACAACCAATTCAACTACTTACCACTGTAAGTTGCAGCTCAGTATCTAGAACATGGAGTCTATTCACCACAATGTAAATACATGACTAAAATGTGGGAAAGTAGAAATGAAAATAACTTAATTTAACTAACCCTCATACACACTCAGAATATATGCTTTCCATTTTATTTCTCTAACACAATGAATAAATTTGTGAAAGTAAAGCTATTCTATTTCTCTTCATGTCATCTTTCTATCTACCTAAATGGATTGTTGTTAAAAAAAAAAAAGAGAGAGAGATAATACACACAAAGTGCATAGCACAAAACTTGAAAAATAGCTAATTTCCAGTAAATGGTAGTTTGTCTTCCCATTGCTTGAGAACAAAGTTCAAACTATTCAGAATGCTTGTTTAATCTATTTTCCCTGTATTCACTTTCTTGCAGTCCCACAAAATGTCTCTCAAATCCTAGAGTCTTACCATTCTGAATCCATTCATGTATCTGGGATTTTCCATTATTGCTCACTTCATATAAAATGCTGCCAACACAACTCACACCACTGGCACAAAGGTGCTTTTGACTCAAGATCCTTGTTCTTTAAATTTCTATGTTCCTCATATGTCTATGATATTTACTTGGCACTCCCTTTACCATTCACTTTGGGCTTGTACATTATTTGCTATATGAAGGTGTTTTTTCACCTGAAAGTAGGTATGCCATGTCTTACTATTCTATCTCACACAGCAAAATTGCTTTTAAAACTAGGTATGGGTATAAGTGAAATTATTATTACCATCACTACTATCACCACTACTACCACAGTCACTACTGTGTAGTTCAGATAGATTTTCTACATCACTTATGATGTAGAATATTTATAAGAATTCAAAATTAAATTTATGCCTTAACACTGAGCTATCACAAAGAATATCTAAAGCTTCTTTACAAAACGTAAATTCATTTGAAAAAAAAAACAAAACATGCTAAGCTCATAAAAGCAAAACTTCAGACATTAGACCACATTCCTGAGTAAACAAAGTGTCCTTTTCTCATCTTTGTTTACAGCAAGCAATTCTAGACTAAACTTTGTTGAGTAGGAAGATATTGATGGTCTTTTGCTGTACACAAACCATATATTTATTGTAAACACAATGAGGGAGGTAGGAAGTAACATCACCAAAAACTACACAAAAAAGTTTACTGACCACTACATATTTTGACAAAGCAGATAATTAGATTAACAAATGTTAAAGACATTTTTACATCTAATGAGATAGGCTAAATTAAAAATGATATAACATCATTTCTGACTTTGCAATATCAAATGATAAACAGATTTAATTCTCAACCAGAAACAGAAGCTCATAGAAGTTCTGCTTTAAAAAATAATCACTATGTTTGTATATATAATTAGTAAATGACCTATAGTACTATCCAGAGTCATTTGAGTTTTAATATTTTGAAGCTAAGGAAAGGAGTCAGTTTGTACAAGGTTTGACCTGACAGAATGAGGTAAAAGCAGTGCTATTGTGAAATCCAGATATATATTTGGATTTTGCACAAAATTCAGACAAGTTAGAGAAAGACATTAATCATGGCTTTATACCTAAAAAATGCACACACTTAAAAGAATTTGCTGTTGCTCAATATTTGTAAGAAAAAAAGGGGCTAAATATACTTTACTACAAACAATACTATATAGAAGTCTTATAGGTAAACACAAATGTAAATGAATAAATCTACATGATTGCTAGTGCACTAAAAGGAAACAAAATCTCAAAACCCAGAAAGATATCTAATACACTAATATTTTTGAAGGATTTATTATTATTTTGGTAATGTGGACAAACCCAAATTATTCATCACTTTTGTAGCACACATCAAAATATTGAATTGCTTGTTTTTTTTGGATTATGTGCCAATTTTGGTATCAACAACATTTTTTTCATAAAAATAATGCAAATAGGCATTGATGTCAGTGACTTCATATCCCTGTCTTGACCATTTATCTGATAAAAACACCCTTTTCCAGGTTACCTACAAAACAGAGTTTATGACTCTTCCCCTAAAAAATAAAAATGCTGCAAGTTTTTCTGTTACCAAAGACTGAGAAGCATCCAGGGTTTCTTTCTTGTTTTTAATAGTGAAATTGTTCAATATCACCTGACTTTTTCAAAACCCCCTACAGTTAATATTACATGTACAATTTAAAAAAGGAGAGCAAGCCTAAAGAAAAAAGAAGAGAAAAAGAAAAAAGAAATAAGAGAGATGTTACAGCTTAACATAATTTGTAACACAATGTAAATATTAGAAGACGTGTTTCTATTAAAAATGTGCTGTATTTTACATGCATATTATTTTAAGAAAATATCTATTATATATCCAAACAAGAGAAGTAAAGGTTGATAATAAATCTATCACAGAGACTGGTTTCATACAATTTCCCCACCTTCAAAAGCTACCGAGAGAGAGAAAAAAATTATCTCCTTAATGTTTCAGCTGACGAAATTTAATGTCAATATTTCAAATTTAGTAATATAATAAATTAAGAAGAATTTATGACCAAAGAAAACATCAATACAGGGTTTTTTAGATTAAGATACAAACTAGTGGTTAACCAAATACATAAATTTTAAAAGATACTGTCAAATCACAGTTTTAATCGTCATATTATGTAAAATAAAACAAACCAATAAAACAGCAGGTTAAATAATTACGTCAAATCATCTAACATAAACTAATTCATTACTCAATTCTGTTAATCATACCACAGTCAAACATTATTACAACTTTGGCAAACAATAAATTGTTTCCTCTTTGCTTTCAAGTTAGCTCTCGATTTTAGAAAATTAGAGTTCTCTTGTTTCCTAAGTTTCTGTAAACGCTATGGAAATTTAAATTTTCCAACCCGGTGCGATGGCTCATGCCTGTAATCCCAGTATATTAGGAGGCTGAGACAGTGGATCACGTGAGCCCATGACTTCAAGACCAGCCTGGGCAACATGGCGAAATCCCACTTACACACACATACACACATATACACACACACATGCACACACACAAGAAAATTAGCTGGGCCTGGTGGCGCATACCTGTAGTCCCGGCTACTCGGGAGGTGGAGATTGGAGGATCGCTTGAGCCCAGGAGGTGGAGGCTGCAGAGAGCCAAGATTGCACCACTGCACTCCTGCCTGGGTGAGGGCAAAAGACTGAGACTCTGTCTCAAAAAATAAAGAAATAAGTAAGTAAGTAAAAAATAAATTTTCCTAGCAAATAAATTTTTTAATTCCAAAGTATTCTTAAAATGTTCCAGGCATCACACTACGTTAATATGTCTGACGCGAAATGCAAAAGGATGAGGTTGACATGATAAAATTATTTTCAATTCTTTTTTCTATTTTTAAAAAGTATTTAAAATTTTTTAAAAATTAAATTTGCATTTTTTATTTAATTTTATTTAAATTAGCATATCTCAAGAAATATATTTATATTTTCCAGAAACCAAGCAAGCAGCATTCCAAGTAGAAGAAAGTGAGCTGTTTTTGACAAACCTGATGAAAATTAATATTTTATCTAAGCAATTTTTGAAAAGCATGTCTAAATAAAACAAAATAGGATCTGTTGAGCATTTTAGAAACTGTAACAGTTACAAAAAATCAATTCACTCTTAAGACATATTACAATGTACCATTTTCATAAATGTTTCAGTACATGCATATTTTTCTCTTCCACTAAACTTACTGAAGTAGTATCAATAGAAAACTAGCAGATTTATGCTGAAACTTCCTCATGCTTTTCTACGTACCACCCAGTAACACCACCCAGTAACAATCTACACCAAGCTTTAGGAAATTAGATTAAAGGTGTTGACAACTGGATAAATCATCTCCAAATAATTGAGACATAGTACAATTTAAAAAAAATGGAAAGAAAATGAAAACCTATTAAACATCTGTCCGCAATCAACAAACCTGTAGCCAAGTAAAAGGTCATGGCATTTATTTCCTTGCTGCTCATCTATGTCTTTTGGACAGTGATACAAATATTCACATGTGTTTTACTTGTTTGCTTAGCTAGATATTGAATGGCATGTAGAGGCAAATAAATAAATTTACAAATAATGTTTAAAAATTATTATGTAATTGAATATACAAGTTGCTTTTGTGATTTCTTGGTCAAACATAAAATCGATCAAGCAAGGTCTGCAAACTAGAATAATTTTTATCTTGTTGTTTGAGAAAAATTGAGACTCCACCATGGCTGCACTAAGAGGAATTTTAACATGTTGTCACTAAGCCAAAGCAACGCCGGAACAGCTCTGTCTGTAGTCTCAGGCCAGGGAACGTTTTCCATTCTATAACTAATTCCCCAGATGCATGATCATACCTCACACACACAGAAAACAGAACAATAAGCCCTTAAGTATGCTTGCGGGCAGTTTTTCACAAGGGCAAGATTACAGGAGAACATGCCTGCTTAAAGAATTATTCCTTTGTTTTCCCCGCTTGTTCTCAAATTATCCATTTCCAATAACACTAAAATTTGTGGAAAATATCCCTCAGATGGTCAGTTTATTTGGAAACCCTTTTACCTGTGTTTGGACACTAAGTTTTCCCAAGCTCAAAATTCAAGTGTGCTTTAGTATGTTGTATTTGTATTGTTTTGTATTTTTTTTTCCTCCACATACTTTTTGTTTTTGTTTTTGTTTTTTTGGCTGGTGGGACACTCCTCCAGCAAATGGGAGCTTTCTATCTATTGCTGTTATGTTATAGCTAACTGTGAGTCCAAAGAAAAAAACATCTTTTCCTATAACTTCTTAAGTTAATGCTCTAAAAATGAGTAACTTTATCACAGTCTCATGGGGAGGGTGTGCTCTCAGAGCCATCCAGGCATTCTGGGACTTTTGTCAATGTGTTTCTGGAAAGGATGCTTATGAAATAATTCAGATCAACATCCAGGGTTCTTGGAGCAGGCTCCACTTAGACTAGCAGAAATCATTTCTGCCAAGGAAGATGTATTTCCTAGATTTGTAAAAAGCTTTATAAAGAAAATTTTGTTGTAACAGTGACTAATAAAATGTAAAAACCAAAAATAACTCAGCATCTGCAATAAAGAGCTATACCTTTTGGGAAATTTTGAATGTAACTGAGGATCAACCATGTTGTACAACTGTGCGGTTTCTACTCACATAGAACACAAAGTGAATGCTGCCCTTCTATAGCTGGGCAACACGTTGATACTAAACTACATTTTCAGCAAGTAATTTGCAAATAAATAGCAGCAGTTTCCTCTCAGTCACTGTGGTTTTTTGTACATTGAAGTGTTTTGAAAATGTTCATACTCTTCCAAGTTATGATTGATACCATTACATTTTGAAGTCAAAACGCTGCATTTCAGTGAAGTTTCCGGTCACTTAAAGTTATTATTGACAGGGATATATATATATATATATGTATATACACACATACTTAGTACATATATATATAATATATATATTTAGTAATAACAATAAATTTTGTGATAATATATATTAACATGAGTGCACTTAGTATCATATACTACTAAATGAAAATAGCTTTAAAATGCTGTCTAGGGTATAAGCAGCTGTATATATAATGGCCATAGGGCCCAGAGGACAAACAGATTTTGGCATGATGGAAACTGAGCTCAGGTAAGTCATCTAAAGGATTTAAAATTTGTTTACTTTGTTCCTCAGGATTCAGGTTGTGGTCAAACTAATTAAATATGCTGATAAAAATAAATGTTTATGCAAATTAATTATCAAAAAACTATAAATAATCAAAATGTCCCAAAATGGCCCATCAAATGCCATTGACAGTCTCTGACTCTAAGACATTTATATTTAAAATATAAATCAGAGAAGCTTAAAGGCTGAAGTCAAGTGTCAAAGTCATCTAAGTGGTTAAACATAGATGTCCTTTAGGTTGCATCAATGCCCACTCTGACATGTCTATGAGCAGTAATTCTCTCACTTCACTAACCCTATGTCTAAGATAGGTATGATGATGAAAATGCTTTGTCCAGAACACAAATTCCAAAACACTCAGCAAGACATTGTTTTCTTTTTGAACAGGTTCCAGCAGACATTTTTAGTTTTATTTTTCTCCACTCTCCCAAAATCCATGATTGAAATAACCATAAGTTCTGGTTTGTACAGAACGGTTCCTGGTTTCACTTATTGTCCTGACGTTGTTGTTAATGATGCTCTCTTTAATTCCTAAAAGCTTCCCCACTTCAATAATAAAGTTTTAGCTGCTTTGTTAAGGTATGATTGACGTACTAAGGCTGTAAATATTTAGTATACACAACATGATGTGTTTGGAGATAGGTGTATACCTGTGAAGCCATCAGACCATCATTGTTATCAATACTGTAATCTTACCCAGTATCCTCAAAAATTTCTCCCAGCCCCATTTATTGCTGTTTCTAAAAATAAATTTATTTATTTTTCTTTTTGGAGTATGAGCACTTGACATAAGATCTATCCTCTTAGCACATTTTAAAGCATTTAATACAGTATTATTAATTATAATATTGCTAATAACCAGGCATGTAATCTGTGTTGTACAGTAGATCTCCAGATGTTTATTTTACACAACTGAAACTTTGTACCTTTTCACCCACACCCCCATTTCTCCTTCCTTCCAGCCCCTTGTAATCACCATTCTACTCTCTGCTTATATGTGTTTCATTACTTTAGATTCCATGTATAAGGGAAGCCACGCAGTATTTGTCTCTCTGTGCCTGGCTTATTTCACTTAGCAGAATGTCCTCCAGATTAATTCATGTTGTCAGAAATGGCACAATTTCTTTCCTTTTTAAATAGATAATAAATTACTTTGGAACAACATATCTCACACCCCACCTTGATTATTTTTACCTTTGTGGTTTTGCATGCTCTGTTTCGACCCTTTTCTCTGTGAAATTCTTTCTGATGTCCTTAACCATCCTACTCTTCAAATCAGAGTCGAGCTGTGAATTAGAGGACATTGGTGAATATGTGATGTTTGTGCTTGCCCAGCGCTGCCCCCCAGCCTTCTTCTGTAATAGTATCCAAAATATCCTTTGTGGGTCCTTGCTTTCTTCAGTCCATGTGACCTTGTCTCCAGATACAGGGCTGAGCATATGACCCAGGCCTGACCATCTGGAACATCCAGGCTTTAATGATTAGTTTGGGCTGGGCGTATGATCCAGATACCAAAAAATAGGGTAGTCCCAGGATTCCCAGCAGTCATCTGCCCACACCAAGGGAAAGCCTACTTTGGAGCAATTCTTCTCTAAGTGTAATCTTTGAACCAGCAGTACCCTAACTTATTAGGTATGAAAATTCTCAGGCCTGACTCTAGACATATTGAAACAAAAACTCTGGAAATGGAAGGCAACAACGAGGTGGTATTGGAGTGTTACAGGGTCACAGAGAAGATCTTCAATTATCAGTTATAGGTTTTAAATTTACCCCAGCTTTTAAAGGAATAGGGTACACTGTTTTTTCTTTACTACTTCCATCTCTCTTTCTTTCTCTTTGACTTCTTCTTTGTCTCTCTCTTTCTCTCCTTCTGACTCCTTCTTTGTCTGTCTCTTTCTCTCTCTCTCTCTGACTCCCTCTTTGTCTCTGTTTCTTCCCCTCTCTCTCTCTGACTTTCTTTCTGTCTTTCCCTTCTGCTGGTCTTCCCCTGTCTCTGCCAGCCACTTACGCTGCTGTTCTCCCCTCTCCTTCCCCTTTTTGATGGCTTCGGCAGTGTAAGACTGCCACCTCCTTGGGCTTTTGCACTGCATGCAATAACTCCATGATTTCCTTGTGGTATTTACTGGGGGTTCCCCCAGAGATTAGGAACTCCCTTTTTCTCCATATTGCAGCATGGGCATGTAGGATTAGATAAGCATACTTGCTATCTGTATACACATTTATTCTGTTTCCCTTTCCCAGTTCTAAGGCTCCGGTAAGTGCCACTAGTTCTGCTAACCGGGCACTGGTTCCTGGGGGAAGAGGCTTACTTTCAAGTATAGTTACATCACTAACTATGGCATAACCTGCCTTTTGTATCCCATTCTCCACAAATGAACTTCCATCGGTACATAGGTTAAGATCAGGATTAGCTAAGGGGACTTCTAAGAGATCATCTCGGGCGGCATAAGTCTGGACTATAATTTGTTGGCAGTCATGCTTGATTGGTTCCCCCTCCTCTGGGAGAAAAGTGGCAGGGTTGAGAGCCACACACATATGTATTTGAAGCACCGGTCCCTCAAGGAGTAGAGCCTGGTATCTAAGTAGGTGGTTGTCTGATAGCTATAAACTTCCTTTGGCACCTAATATGTGATTTACATCATAAGTAGTCCAGACAGTGAGATCCTTTCCTTGTATTATTTTGATAGCTCTGACACTAAGACGGCCACCGCTGCAGCTACCCGTAAACAGTGAGGCCAGCCTTTTGCTACTACAACAATTTCCTTACTTAGGTATGCCAATGGTTGTGGGGTTGTCCCACGAGTCTGAGTAAGGACTCCAAGAGCTATCTCTGTGCTCTCTCTGTGACGTATAAAGAGAATTTTTGTCCTGTGGCAAGGATTAAAGCTGGAGCTCATACTAGGGCCTGCTTTAAGGTTTTGAAGGCTGTTTCTGCCTCTGGTTCCCATTCTACTAGATGAATATTTCCCCTTTGGGTCTCCTTGATTAGAGCATAGAGTGGTCTGGCCATCTTGCTGTACCTGGGGATTCATAGTCGGCAAAAGCCCGTGATTCCAAGGAACTCCCGCAACTGTTTTAATGTCTTAGGGTGAGGATAAGCTAGTATAGACTGTATTCATTCCTTGCTGAGGGCCCTGGTCCCTGTGGCTAAGATTAGGCCTAGATATTTGACCTGCTGTAGGCAAAGCTGGGCCTTCAACCTAGACGCCTTGTACCCTCGATTAGCTAGAAAGTTCAAGAGAAACCCAAGTGGGTTTCCACTGCTGGCTAGGGTGGCCAGCTTTTATTCCCTTATTTGTCCCCGCCCACATCCTGCTAATTGGTCCATTTTACAGATTGCTGATTGGTCCCTTTTACAGAGTGCTGATTGGTCCACTTACAATCCTTTAGCCAGACACAGAGCACTGATTGGTGTGTTTACAATCCTCTAGCTAGACAGAAAAATTCCCCACTTGACCCAGGAAGTCCAGCTGGCTTCACCTTTCATGGGCAACATGGTGAAACCCCATCTCAATAAAAAATACAAAAATTAGCTAGGCCTGGAGGCACGCACCTGTAGTCTCAGCTACTCAGTAGCTTGATGTGGGAGGATGGCTTGAGCCAGGGAGGCAGAGGTTGCAGGGAGCTGAGATCATGCCACTGCACTCCATCCTGGGCAACAAGGTGAGACCCTGTCTCCAAAAACTAAAAATAAAAAAAAGAAACATTAAGAAAAAAAAGTAAACAAAGAGAATCAAGATGGCAAAAACTGTTTCTTAGAACATAATGATAAAAGTAATAAATCTGTGGCAAGACATATAGATAAACTTTTTAAAACAGAGATACAAGTTACAAATAACTAATATCAATATTATTCAGGCATTTAAAGGATAATGAGATAATATAAATAAACATATGCCAACAAATTTGAAATAAATTGCTAGGCAAGTACAACTTTAAAAATGAAATGAAAAAGAAAAACTGAATAGTCCTACAAATTCATTAATCATTCTACTATTTGACCATCTAACTTATCTTTAAATTGTTTTGTAACTATTATGCATTTTTATTTCAGACTCATATGGAACATCCGTGTGTATGTGTATAAATAGTTTATGTAATGTGACAGTTAATGAAAAAAACAGAAGAATAAAGACCAAAGAAACCCATGAAAAGAATGTAAATGATACTACTGGGGCTCTGAAAATAATACCCCAAAATGAAGGCATCAAAAGCAGTTTCTCTCTGACCTTCTCCTGCCCTCCTGTCTCCTGTCTCTTACCCCTCATCCATGCCTGAGGCAAGTCATAGAAACTAAAATCATTTTTCCCTAAAGTCAGCTATCAAGCCTAAAAATATTACTCTGAATTTTCCCCACATTTCTGTGGAACAGCTGGCCATAAAGAAATTAAGACCCTCATTTCAGAGGAGTCCTACCCCATACGTGGGAGGAAGAAATTCTGTACAGAGAGGCCAAGAAGAACCTGAACAAACAGGCCCTGCTAGAATTCTTGAGTCTATCACTGCTAGCTCCTGTCCTTTTCTGTTCAATCACACTTGTACATGGCTGTCCCTGCTTCATTGAACCAAAGCATAAAATTGGATATCTTCCCCTGTATCTCTGGGTCTTCATTCTGGAGGCTCTCATGTCACAGAAAACTATAATCAAATAAATGTGCTAAGTTTTTCTCTAACATGTCTTTTGTTATAGAGGTGTTGGCCATTGCTCTTATGAAGAAGAAAAAGATCACTCCTTTTCTGCCCCTACAATACCATAATCAACAAAAGAAATAATGTCATGAGATGCATGTTGCACAATATTTTTAGTGGTATGAATTTACAAACTGTGAGCCTGCAAATGGAAAACCTGCCATAAAATGCATTAAGTATAAAACTTTGACGTGGGTGGTTCTCATGTGATGTTGCCCATCTGTTCATGAAGCAAAGAAAATCCTTAAAAATCCTTTTAAATAATAAGAAATGCTCTGCAAGACAAAATAGAAGTAGTAAATGAAACCCTTTGTAAGGCTGAATTCTTAAAAGTGGATTTATCTAAACTCAAGTTATAAATCTACATATTTTATAGAAATATATAAGCATTTAAAAAAGTATTTAAGTACACCCAGACTTTACTCCATTATGTGTGTACACACTGAGGTTGCTGTATGCAGTCATATAAAAAGAAGAGGGGGTGGATCTAATTGATGTAAAATAATAAACATGAATAAATTAATTTTAAATTAGAATTTGATGTATAATATACAGTTATGTAAAAAATAAGAAGTGTTATAGTAATTTGTAGATTTTGGTTATGAATATACAAATAAAAAAGCCCAAGTCATCTATATATGTGAATTCCTATGTTTGTCAGATCAAGAGGAAAGTTATGGAGGGACAAACAAGTCTATCAGCATTAACTTGATGAGGAAAAGAAGACTAAAAGGGGTGGGGGAGTCAATCAGATAGAAGATGATTAAATTATGGGTGCCTGTGTTTATTTCCTTTTTTAAATTTTATATTTTTCACTTAATACAAACATCACATGTTAATTTAGTCAGGACATGTTGTCATATGTTTCATGTTAAATGCGATATAAATATCTTTTAAAGGAATTGCCTTTAAATTCCGACTGCACTGAATTTGTGTTGGACTCTACCACTTACAAGCTATGTCCTTTGGCAAGTAAGTAAATCCTTCTGTCTATGTTTCCTCATCAGTAGAATAAGCATAAGAATAGTAACCACATCAGATTGTAGAGGAGTTAAAAGAGAAGATGTGAAGGTGTGTGAAAATTACACAAAATAATGCATGATACCTAGTAATCACTCACTAATCGGCAGTAAATTTTATTCCCCTCTCATAGAGGAGAAAGCCCTTAAAGATCACCTAATCAATTGAAATGTCAGAGGCAGCCATCAACCTAATTCTCAGACCAGATTCTGATCAATTTAAGAAATAAAACAAAGATGAAAGCCAAAAATAAAACAAAACTGAAAGCCAAAAATATCCTATTATACAGATAAAATGTGGTTACATAACTTGTTATAAGAGTCAGATAACCTACTCTTATGCTAAGGAGACTACCCCTAGACTGAAATTTGGGGTAACCAAACACAGGAAATTTTGTCTTCAGATTTAACATGCTTATTTTGATGTTTAGAATGAACAGAGAAAGAAGCATTAAAGCTATCAAATATCATGCAGTGGACTTTTGAGAGCTTCACTTCATCTCATTGAGACTTGTAGACCAATATGTGGCATTCATCAATCAACTAACTGATCAACTGAATAACTCCATCTTAGACACAGGGTTAGGGCAATGATAGCAGTATGTTTAGGGAAAATATCTTCTCAAGAAAACCAGAATTGTGGAAAGGGTGTTCTTTTCTGACAGTGCCCAGCAGTTTTGAAACTTTGTATTAGAAAACTCTCTTATCAAAATTAATCTTATGGGAAGTCTCAATGCATGAAACTGCTTTACTTACATAAATGGCTGAAGGGAGGAAGGAATCGTAAAACTTCACTCCCGATCACAAAATTTCCCTAATGAATATTAATTATCAATCATGTTCCTACTTCATCTCTCCTAAAATAATACTTATACCACAAAACAAAACAAGACAAAAAGCAAGCAAATAAAAAGTTTGAAACATGTAAATAGCACATATTTTTAGTTATTGACTTTATTCAGTATGTTTGAATTTTCTTTTATTTTGCTTAACATACATTAAACAGTCTAATTCCAGAAACTGCAGTGCAAATACACTCCAGTTACAGTTAACAGACAACACTCTGGTTATTTTCACTGTATCACTTACTTCCCTGTAATATTGGCTTTCCATGCAGAGATTCTGTCATTTATTTTTACATAATATAACCAATAGTAGAAATTGGACTATTGGGTGCATATGGTTACAATCTTATGCACTGTGGAAAAACCATTTCTTTTTATCCCATACAGCTTTGAATTATCCAATGACTTGAAAGAAAGGTTTTCAGGGAGAAATTATATAACTTTACTAGACAGAATTTTATGCTAAATTTCACAAATGGCCTGCTGAAAAAAAAATGAAAGTTTTCTTCTTTTTAAGATTTTGAAGGTATGCAAAGTTCACTTATAAAATGTTTCAAACTCATGTACATGATTCTTTGATGTATGTTCCAGTTTATATGTTATATGGATTTCAAATTCATCCTGAGAAAATAATCTTATGAGCAGGGATGTCTTTGTAAGGCCATACAAATGGTTTGTATGAAAATCACTATTTTTCATGATACCTGTTCTTAAAATTAACAAGCCAATAGTTAACAGGCTGTTGGAATTTTTTTCCAACGAATTTATTCTTAGAATCACTGTATTAGCTATATTAGTTTAGAAATCTCTCTAAATTAGGTCAATGCCATATTGTGACTGTTTCAGCCCTGGTTATAAGTAAAATCACATATGTATATGTTTATATAACTATGTATTATATGCATACACACACACACTCACATATATATATTCAATTTCCTACCATCTCTCTCAGAAAACATCTATAATCTAACAAAATTAACTTTCATTCTGGTTATTCTCAAAAGATGACTTTGTCTAAGAATTCACAGAGAAAATTTGGGGAGACAATTTTTAAAAAATTTCCTATCTCCCCCTTCTTTCCCCATGAAACATCCATGCCAACTTCTGATCCTCTAGTTTTAAAGATTGTGTCCATCTTGTGGCTCAATGCAAAGTCACCCACTGGCACTGTTTGTCCTACATTCTTCCGTTTCTTATGGATCATTGCTCCATCTGTCTTCCTCTCTATTATACCTTCATAGATATTTTAGCTTAGCATAAAAACAGCAATACTTCTTAAATAGTTATGCCTCTTTGTGTCTGTATCACAACCTTCTCCTTTTCTACTGTAAGGGATAGGGCTTTAGCACAGTTGTTCTATGGTTACATAACAACAACTGAGAAGGCTCTCAGCAAGAAGAGTGTTTGGAGAGTGAGAAGATGAGAAAATGCCAGGGTCGCTGAAGAACAGAGTAGGGAAGACAGAGGGGAAAGAAGATGAGAATTTGCTCATCAGAGCCCATCAGAAGCTCTCAGAACTTCAGATTGATGAGAATTTCTAATACAAACCCATTAGTGAGCTTAATAAAAAAGCCATCTCCTATTCCGTGCTCAAATAAGTATGGGGGGAAGAGAAAACAGATTCTTCAGCTATGCACTCCTCAGGAAGAATCGGGGGTCTGATTCAGTTCCCAGAAAAGTTAAATAGGTGTTTTAAACCTTTGCTTGACAGAAACTTTATGCCCACTGATTAATAACATCCCCCTCCCCAGTCCCCTGTAATGACTATTCCATTCTTTCTTTCTATGAATTTGACTATATTAGATACCTCATATAAGTAGAATCATGCAGTATTTACCTGTCTGTGATTGGCTTATTTCATTTAGCATAACGTCCTCAAAGTTCATCCAAGTTGTTGCATATCGAAGAATTCCCCTTGTTTAAACTATAGTATTTTATTGTATGTATATAAAAAAATTTTAAATCCATTCATCTATTCATGGACACTTAACATTTTTCTCACATTTTGGATATTGTGAATAGTGCTGCGATTAACTGTTAAAGTAATGCTAATATCTCTTCAAGTTCCTGATTTCAATTCTTTTGCATAAATATCCAAAAGTAGGATTACTGAATCACATTGCAGTTTTAGTTTTTTAAGAATCCTCATACTGTTTTCCATAGTGGCTGTACCATTTTTCATTTCTACTAACAGTGTCCAAGTGTTCCAATTTTTACACCTCCTGGTCAACACTTGTCTTTTTTTTTTTTTTATAACAGTCATACTAACAGCTTTAAGGTGATATCACTTGATGGTTTTGATTTGCATTTCCCTCGTGATTAGTGATGCCTGATGGCCATTTGTGTGTCTTGTTTGAAGAAAATTCTATTCAAGTCATTAACCCACTTTTTATTAGTGTTAGTAGTTGGCTTTTTGTTTTTGTTTTTGTTTTTAACTTTGAGTTATAGGGAAGAACACATTTCTCATAAGTCCTTATGGAAAAAAATATTGATAAAAAATAAAAACAACCAAAAAATAAAGGGTTAATTACACAAAAACAAATCGTGGTGAGCATTGAGTATACATTGAACTGTAGAACTAATAATGGAAATAAATATGAGAATAATGGCTAAAAAATGATGAGACATATAAACATACTTATTATTGTGTTTCTTATAGATAGCATTCAAAGATATAATTTAAAACTATTTGTCATATACCTATTTTACAGGCATACAGGAAGATGCTGAGAAAATTAACAAAATTAAACTCATCAAAAAATGGAGAAACAAATCTGCCAAAGAAAATCCTATTATTATCAGGGCTGACATTTAGAGTTAATAAATACTGTATAAAATTAACTAGATTGATAGTACAGTCTTGAGGGCAAATTGTGGAACTTCCAAAATTTTAAGAAAAAAAAAAAAAAAAGAAAACCTATGTCATATGTGGAATGTTTAGAAAAAAATGCACATCACACATGATAATTTTAAAGTCAGTCAGCTACTTAAAAAAAAAACGCAGACAATAAAACAAAATGTATCCATTTGCTCTGAATGTGAGATTCTGAAAAACCCTGAATATATAGGAATAAGAAAAGACATACTGAAAAAAAAAAGAAAAAGAAAGCAGAAATAATTTTAGTGACACTTTAAAAGGCAGGAGAGAATGAACAATTTATTGTTACAAAGATATCTCCTATAATCACAACCTGACATTTATAAATATCTTGCACACAGTAATATAACAGAAACATTTTTATGTATTGGAAATGGATTTAAATCTACCATTTGTTGTTTCCTCTTTGTCCTGTCTGCTCTTACCTCTTTTTTACTTTCCTTTTCTTAACTAAATTTCATTTTTATTTTTTAATTTTTTAAATATTTTAGTCATTATATTGGGAGTAATTCCAAATGGGTTATGAGGAAACTTATTTATTGAATTTGATGAGTTTTCTGAAAACTCTTAATGAAAATACATTTGCCAATAAAAATAAAACATCAGCAGAGATATCATATACTAAGCGAAGAGTTAGAGTGATACCAAGTGACATTCAACATTAAAAAGATACAATATAAAGGAACACAATCTGTTGAGTATTAAAAACCATCTCAATATGAACTCTTTGCAATCGTCACATAACTAATTAGCTATCGAATCCAAAGTAAGTTTGGCTGATGGAAGTAAGGAATCAGTATGAGGTAAAAAATAAGTTCCTCAGCGCAAGAGAACTGAATAGTGTTTTGGACCGTTTTCCTGGCTGGTATAAGCAGTATTTAAAAAATCTTCTTTGGCAAGGGAGATAAATAAATACCAATAAAATGCTACACTTTTAAATGAGCAGACTGTCTCAGGAATGACAAAGGTATCAGTAAAGTAGCAAGGTGATAATTTAAAACATTATTTGTTGACTGGGTGCAGTGACTCACACCTGTAATGCCAGTACTTTGGGAGCCTGAGGCAGGTGGATCACCTGCGGTCAGGAGTTCGAGACCAGCCTGGCCAACATAGCGAAACCCCGTCTCTACTAAAACAAACAAACAAAATAGAAAAAATTAGCTGGGCGTGGTGGCAGAAGTCTGTAATCCCATCTACTTGGGTGGCTGAGGCATGAGAATTGCTTGAACGTGGGAGGCAGAGGTTGCAGTGAGCCGAGATTGTGCCATTGCACTCCAGCCTGGGTGACAGAGCAAGCTTGGCTCCATCTCAAAAAAAAAAAAAAAGAAAAAAAAATTGGTGTGGGCTCAAAAAGCATTCAAATGGGTTTATTTAAAGGTTTCACAATAGCAAGGAATTTACGGTTATAAAATTAAAGGAGGATACTTTTTCCCAGGAGAATTTCTTTAAAACCAAGCATATTGCTAAATAGTAACATCATACCTGGTAAACAATCAAAGGCAACAAAACAAGTTTAAATGCTGTAATAGTCTGCCTAAGGAGTCCCAGAGATTGTATAATAACCAAGATGCAAACTAGTTTTGTTGTAACAAGCCTAGTTTCAATTCTATCAAACATGTCCTTGGTTAGATAACCAGTTTCATTGAATGTTTTGAAAGCTCACCTGCCAGCCAGTTAAGTCCCTCATACAGAACAGTGCCTTGTATAGCACAAGTGGCTTGAATATACCATGTTCTGTTGCACAGAGACTGAATTTGTCTGTCATTTCACCGATGGCCATAGCATTTGGCAAATTTTGTTTGTTTGCAAAAAGCAACAGCACAGTATCTCCCAGCTCATCTCTGTGAAGCATTTTCTGTAGCTCTTCTGCTCCCTCCTGAATTCTTTCATAATCATTGCTATCTGCCAAAAATAAGAGCCTGGGTATTCTGGAAGTAATGCCTCCAGGGAGGCCTAATTTTATCTTGACCTTCTCATACTGTGAAACATATGCTCTTGTATTCTACTCTTTTCACGTTAAAACCATTGGTAGGAATGATAGTGACCATCTCCCCTAACTTTACCTTATACAGAGATCACCTTGACAGCAGCATCCAATCCAACCATCAAAATTAACATCTGCTTCTTGCTGAAGACAGGAATACAGGGGATGGTGAGGCCCAGGGTGGTAGTGGCACCTGCGATGGGCAGACACAAAAGGGGCGTGGGGTGTCCCCAGACCCTCTCCTTTCACGCTCTCAGAAAACCGAACCAGAGGGAAGAGAAACAGCTCAGAAAGAAAGAGAGCAACAGGGGCGTCTCACTGGCCAACGTGTCCATGAAGCTGCTTGACAGGAATTAGTGGGGTGAGGTCCTGCCGGACGACTGGCGCTTCAGCCGTGCCAAGTCACGCAGCAGACCAGCCCCTCGGATGTCTGCATTTTATCTGTATTTTACTTTATGTCTGCTGCTTTTAGTAGATGTAGGTGTTTGTGGTGTTATTTTGGTGGTGGTTTGAGGTTTATAGTATACCTCACTAACTTACCACTCTACTCTCATGTAATGCTGTCCTAGTTCATTCCCAGGGTAAGAAATTTAAAACAACATACTTCCATTTGACCCTGCATGGTCTTTGAGTTATTTTTATCATGCATTTTATTTCAATATATTATAAATAACAGGAAACATCATTATTCTTGTTTTAAACAGTTATCTATTAATGAGACTTAAATAGTCTTTATAGTCACCCATTTCTTTACTACTTCTAATGTTCATTTTTCTGTCATTACAGATTTCCATTTGGTATCATTTTCCTTCTACTTCGAGGTCTCTCTCTAACATTTCTTGTAGTGCGGATGCCTTCATTATAAATTCTCTTAGCTTTTGTATGTCTGAAATAGTCTTTTTCTTTTTTTCTCTTTCTTTATGAAACATATTTCTGCTGGATAATCTTAGGCTGATGTGTTTATTTTTTAAATTTTAGATAAAGACTTTAAAGATATTGATCCACTCCTTAAATATTCATTGTTTAACGACAAATTTGATGTCCTAATTTTTGTTTCTATTTCTATAATGAATCTTTTCTTCCGGCTCCTTTAAAGGCTATCTTTAATCATTGGTTTTAAGCAATTTGATTATGATGTGTCATGGTGTCATTTTCTTTATTTGTGTGTGTACGTATGTTTGGGCTACCATGAACTTCTTGTATCTTGAATTTATGTTTTTCATTAAGCCAGTGTTTTTTCACAGATTTTTTTTCCGTCACCTCACCCCACCCTGTCATTTTCTGACTGTATTTACATACATTTGGCTGAATTGAATTGTCCCACAGTTCACTGATATTCTGTTCGTTTTTTAAAATCTTTTTTCTTTCTGTATTTCCTTTTGAATAGTTTCTATTGTTATGTCTTGAAATTTACTGTGCTTTTCTTCTGCAAAATGCTGTTAACTCTACTCACTGTATTTTTCTGTTAGGCATTGCAGATTGTTATCTGTTTTAGACTTGAGATGTTTTAGTTTTACCTCTTTCATGTCTGCACTTTACATGTCCAATCTGGCCTTTAGCTTCTCGAACATATTGAATACAATTGTAAAAACTATTCTTTCACTCTTTATTGACTCCATCCCCTTTTTTCCGAATCATTTTTAATTGATTTTTTTTCTCATTATGGCTTACATTTCCTTGCTTCTTTATATTAAGCTTCATAATTTCTATTAATAATTCATATTAAGCTTCATAATTTCTATTCTTTATATTAAGCTTCATAATTTCTATTACATGCATCATGAATTTTATCTTATTTGGGCCAGGATATTTTTTGATTCCTTTGTTCTACAAGGCATTTAAGTTAATTGGAAAGCGTTCACTCTTTGAGATCTCTTGTCTTAATGCTTTCCTAAGAAGAATGAGCATAGCCTTTTGTCAGGGTTAATGTTTTCCACTACTGAAGCATATTCTTCTGAGTATACTATCTGATATTCTGTGAATTATGAGGTTTTCTTCTCTAGATATTGGAAACTGGCACTACTGCTGGTCCTTTATAAGTCCGGGACACTGTCGCCTTTAATGATTTAAGGTGGTTGGTTTCCTTACACACATGTACTGATCAGCCTTCAATTGAACACTTGTGAGATAAATTCTCTGCAGTTCTCTCTCTTTGCTTTTCTTTCCTCTCCCATGCTTTTCTTTTCAAACTCTAGGTGTTTTGACTTCCCTGAGTTTTCGGATTCATTTTCTAAACTCAGGGAGACTGCCAGGTTCTCCCTGGGTCCTTGCTCTGCCCTAAGTTCCAGAAACGTGTAGGCTAGAGCAATCACAGAACTCACCTCATTTGTTTTCTGTCTCACTCACATAACTGCCATTGTTGCTTGAGGGGTAATGTCGAGATCCATTGCTTTATATTTTTTGTTTCTTATTTTCTTGTTTTAGTCATGAGGGTAAATCTTGTTTCTTCTACTCCATCTTGGCCCAAAGCAGAAATCTCATTATAATTTATTTGTATATGTATGTTTCTCCCAGTACACTGTAATCTCATTTTATTCGTCTTTGCCTAATACAGAATCTCACCTAATATTGAACTTGATAAGCATTTGTGAAACCGGACCTCTTTTGTTCATCAAAAAGGAATAGTAAATACATTTCAAGTTATATGGCAACTTGAAAGGTAGTAGAGACTTCTGTTGGAAAGGAAGCTCAAGTTGTTTTGAATCTAATGGGAAAAGATCTATATTAGAATAGTAATGTCTAAAAGATATGGCTTATAAACCATTGCTTTAGAGACTAGCACTTATATTTGAAAATTTGTCAAAATAATAAATACTATAATGCCTTAGAATAGGTGATAAATACTACACAATAACAAAGAGTTGACCATTCTGGGTGAGTTGCTAGCAAAAGTTATGAACATTACATTAATAATTCAAAGATTAGTCACATTGGGTAACACAGTATTAACCTAAACCAAACACATAAACAGGAACACCTCTAACAATTGGCATTTTACTATTGTCAGAATTTTAAAAATTCTAAAATTTCAACCAAATTTAAAAAGCATTTTGAAGAATTTAGATAATTTATCACTCTTTTTTTTTAGGAAAAGTGTTAATCTGCTCATTCCCAAGAGTTCGTTTGTGGCCCCATTGACCATCTCCATTCTGCTGTGCTCAGGAAGAAGGGAGGAATCTCCTCATTATACAAAGTCTATGTGAATAACTTCTCTATATCTTTCTTTAAGTTTGATATAGAGAAATACATAAATAAGGAACAGCAAGTGGTTATATGTCAGACATTTTCCTGAAGAATGTGCCCTTTAGTTCTAATCTAATCTTTCCCCAAATATAGAACTACATTTAGGTATATGCAGGATAATAAAGACATAATTTTACTTTTAAAGAAGAGTTCAAATGTATTACTGTTTAAATAACTTGATGGAGACTTGCATAATATCTGCCCTCTTTTCATCTCTTCCCATAAATTTGCAACAGTCTACTCCTTACTATATGTATATCTAAGAAATATCCAGTCTTAGAAAAGATACTTAACATTTTTTTCTAAGATAACAGAGTAAGCTGTAGGGAAACCCCACAATCATAAGTAGGCAAAAGCCTGCAAATGTCTATTGACTTATGAAAGACAACGCCTTGGCAAGAAATGCCTTGTAATCATAGACCTTTAGCTGTTAGAGAAGATAGAGGAAACGAAGACATAATCAGTTTTAGGGTAGCCCCCTGAGCACACAAGCTTAATAAATATGAACCTTAGAAACAATGATCATTGCACAATTTGCCTGTGATCAGACTTGGGGGTGTATATGAATCCTAAACACTTGGTTTCTATGTGACAATAAAAACACAGAACTGCTCTGGAATCAATTAAACTAGAATTCACACTCTTTTGTGACAGGTAGTGTACTATTCAGTGCCAGTGGAGGCAGATGGAGCATAGTTTCTGCTCAAAAATATGCAATCTGTTAAAATCTTTTTATAGTATGAGAAAAAAAGCCTTTGCCTTGCTCTTAAAACTAATTTAAACCTTTTTAAAATGCATAAGGAAGGAAAAACAAAATAAGGGATATTTATTAATAAAGAAATTGGTGCAAATTGAATATAAGGAGAAGAAAGAAAAGGCAGCTAAAAGTGAATTTGAGTACACTAAGTTTATCCTATAAACTCCTGCTACAAAATTGCAAGAAGCAAGGCACAAATTGGACTGTGCTTATTCCAAAAGCCAAGACAAAGAGGGAAAACTCTCAGCTTTGTCGTTCACAATGCATATAAAATAAAAGAATTACTCAGAAGAACAACTACTTCCAGGGAGGACTTCCTGAAAGAGATTTTTCCTGGGAGTCCTCTTGAAAAAAACACAAGTTGGGAAATTCATGCTAGTCAGCAGGCTTATCCAATATCCCTTATGGGTGTTCCTGAATCTGCTCTCCTGTCAGGAATCAGGGAAGTGCAGTTTAAAAACCTCTGCATGCACCACCTGCCCTCAAGTGGTCCTGAGAGAACAATCTCTTACTTGGTTTTATGGGGGCAGTTAATCTCAAAGAAATGGCTGAGAGAAACTGCACCAGATTCATGTTTTAAAGATAGAGTAAATGGTTCAATAATTTATGTTTCTCACAAATATTGTGCCCAGTATATTATAGTCACATAATTTTTTTTCAAAGAATAAACAAGTGCTCTGAACTACCTCTTCCTCTGCTGCTATCCCATTATAGCCATTATAAAAAGGGGCAATAAAATCAAATAAAGTATAAAGTAAGAAACTAAACTATAAAATTAATCAAAGAGCATAAGTATTACAAAGAAAATGCAGTAAAAGGTAAAAAGAAAGGTAAAGAGTAAAGTAGAAGACAAAAAGTAAATGAATAAAATAATATAGAATAAATATAACAAGATAAAGTAAAAAGAATACAAACTTTCTGAGGAGAAATTTAAAGAAGAGGTATAAAATGAAAGAAGTGAAAAATAAAAAAATTAAAAAGTTTTTTATTAGAAAGTAAAATAATATTTAACAAATGAACAACAAATAGCATTCTTCACAGCAATGAGATAAAATAACTTTACAATCTTTACAATCTTAAACTACAAAGTGAGACTTGTTCTTTAAAAATATGAAAGAATATAGGAAATAAAAAAGGAAAAGCAAGGGATATGAGTTTCTGGAATGTGCTGATAATGAAGAGTCACAAGGCAGAACCATAAGTAACCTTTTTTTCCTCTGGTCACTAAGTTAGTCTCCTGAGTGCCTTCTAGACCACATAGTCCTTTGAAAACAGGTAATGCTTCGATCAAAAAGCGAGGCACTTTCTTACTTCAGTCACTACCAAGTCATTTCTTGCCATTCTTCAATAAACTCTGGTTAATAGTCAACTGTAATTTTTGCATTCTAAATTTTTTAGAAAAGGAAAAATGATAATTAGTACCTGTTATCTTGAAATATCTCTTCAATATAAGGATCAATTTTTTTTTCTATGTTTTGTCTTCACAACTCTGATATTCTTGAGTTGTTGACAAAGTCATCAATGAGTTTTTTGGAGCCACTCAGATAATAGTTGAATTTTTATCTGAATTTATTTTACAATCTGATGAATTTTTTTATTTTTTACTTTTACTTTCAAATTTTTTACTCTTTTTACTTTTATGTTTATTCTTTAATTTTTTGTGAAGAGGCATGATTAGATGAAACATTTAATCTGAAATGTTAAAACTATATAAAAGACCACAGAAATGTTCACTGATTTGGGACATATAGAAGTAGATATTCATTTTCTAATAGGAAATTTAAACAAGTTCTCTGGACTACTGAAACCATCCATTTACACTGGCACTAATATATACATAATTTTAAGAAAAACATTGATACATTTCATGAATAGTAGATGTGATGATTTCAGGTATTCTACTTGTTAATACTAACAAACAATTCTGTATGCATTAACTCTATTGTGATACAAATACATAATAAGGAAGTTAACTAAACTGTTTACATATGTATAAGAGTAAAGCCAAACTATCAAATAGGCTTTTTATAAAATTTGTGTTGCCATTAGAAGACATGCTGGGAATTTTATGACCTCTTCCTCAGGGACCATGTTTATCTTTGTTAGCCATCATACCTTTAACAATTATGCTTATTGAGTGATCTATGTGCATGTTCTTGCCCCTGTTCAAACAAACAGGCTAGAGCTTGTGGCAACATGATGACCTTACAAGTACAAAATACACACTCCTCAGGCATATTTGAGACATTAACTGTGATAAGCAGAAAACCCAGCCTTGTGTAATCTGTCAACAAACTAATAAATTACTTTGGTCAAGGGAGGAAGAACTTCCTCCCATGACCATCTGCACAGGGGAATAGGTTAGTAATTAGAATTCCAACAAAACTGAGGGTTTGGACAAGATAAGCAAAGGCTTAATATGGAAAGTTAAGGGCCAATCCTTTTAGGAACCTATTAGCACACACTTAACATTTTTTGGCATTCTATCTATAAATATTAAGAGATTAGCAAGAAATATGATCAGGCAACAGGAATGCCCACTTACAGCCCTACTCTGAATTCAAAGTGCAAAGTATAAAGTCACATTTCTACTGTCATTAAACGGAGTTTTACTTTGAAAACAGAACCAGACTTGGGTACTTTCTTGATTATTGACTCAAACCCAAATTTACCTACCTGTCTTGCAAAAGATTAGCTATTTAATACCTTTAGTATATATTTTGGCTAAGGAACTGGAGTCAGGAGGCCTGGATTCATATCTCAGTTCTTACACTTAAGAGCTATTTGACTTTAGTAGTGCCTCTTTCATAAAGAGCATCCCACATACCCCACCACAGCAACCTGTTGGACAAGCTGACCAAAAAGGAAGGCAAACAGCCCTGGACTTGGTAGAGAATAAGATGAGACTTTCCACTTACCTGCTCCTTTGAAATTTTGCCTTAGGCTTCTTCTAAAAGTCAACATTGAAGTTTAGACTATGAGCTGACAGAATGAGGACTGAGAATCCCAGAGATACCATTCTTTGTCATGTGATATGCCACAGTGCTATGTTCTTGGTTGACTTTTATGCTCCTTATGTATGTAGGGTGCAAATGATATACCAAACTGCAGAGCCTTCTTAAATAAGACCAGAATCATTGACAATATCCTCTGACCTACCACAACAAATGCTGTAAAGTACATATATGTTTATACTGAATGACTTTTGGGAGTATGTCTAAAAACTTGGAACTGAACCTAAGTTTACTAATGAGCCATAACATGAGATTCATCAATTGTCAGCATAAAAAATGTTTCTGGGTAATGGGGAGGCTAATCATTGCATAGAATTGCTTTTTATACACAAACACATATTTAATTTTATCCTTTGAGACATTTTTTATAATCAAAAATAAAACAGATATAGCAAGAAAATAAAAATGATATACTCTGTGAGTTATAAAGTAAACATATCCACGTTGTAAAAATTATAATGAGGAAAGATTGCATATATACATATCTAACTATGAGTGAATCCATCCCATTCCATTAATTTTCCTTAGTGAATGAAGATTAAAATGAATATTCAAAATAATGAAGAAAAAGCTTTGGATAAAAATATCTGAAGACATCCTTCATTGAAGAAAATTGAAGATCTAGGATAAGGCAGACTTCAAGAAGAATAATGTTTATCATTTAATTTAGATAAACAAAAATTCCATCTTTGCAAAAGTATTCATCTTTTATTACAAATTGCCAAGGTCAAATTCAGTTCAATGTGCCTTTCACATTTTAAGGCCAGTCATATTTTAAAATGTCTCTTTGAACAATAAATTTTCTTCCCTGATTTTGTATATCTTTTTAAGATTTGTCTTTCTTCAGGAAACTCTGCCAAATGTGTTGAGAATATGAACCTAAATTACAAGGCATTCTATATGTGTTTAGAAATACATTTTTTTTCTGATTTCCCTGCAACTTTAATTACACAGTATTTCCAATTCTTTTTCATGTCATTTACAAACTTATTCTCATTTTTGTTCCTGAGCCCAACACAAGCCAAGCATGAACTTTATCAACAACCTTGGTCTACCTGCCATTCTCGTCTTCCCCTCTCACCCAAAACCCATTCCTTATCCTTGCTCCAGCTTTCTATCTGTTGGTCTTATGATGACTGCTAGATTTGAATACTGTTTTCTGAGCCTCTCTCAATTTGTCACTCTTCTGATTCAGGTTTCTGCAGTGACCTACTGGACTCCAAAATTTCTCCTGCTAGTTTTCCTTCTCTCCCTGTCTATGGAGAACCTGTAGGACAGAAATTCTGCTTTGGTGTTGGTGCAATCTAGTTTCCAGGTCTAGGCCTCTGGCATTGCTCCGGGAGTGGATTACTAAGCATCAACCAATGACAAAGAGAATCTACTTTGTTCAGCGTTGCTGGAAAGGGAATTTGTCCTACCTCAAAATTATTAGCCCAAATAACTCCTAAATATTTATCATTGTCAGGGGCTATAATAGTTTCCTCTACTCATTAATTGTGAATTATAGCACCTACCTATTTTGGCATCAATCATGAGTGAACTTGCCATTTGATGCATTTCTAAGGCAACCAGTTTATTCAGGTAAGTTTTTCAGCGGATATATTACTTTAGATTTGTAACCTATTCTATTCTATTCTATTCTATTCTATTCTATTCTATTCTATTCTATTCTATTCTATTCTGTTCTGTTCCATTCTATTCTACATTCTCTATTACAAATGTATCATTCATGTTATTCAATATACACATTCCTCTTTATTTTAAGCACTGTGCTAAACTTTTTGTATATGATTTTGGTATTATTCCTAATTCACAGATGAGGTAACTGAAGCTCAATGGAGTTAAGCAAATTTCCTAAATTATCAAGATATTAGTGAATAGAATTTGATTGGAAGCCATATCTCTCCAACTCCAAAGTCTGTTCTCTCTCAACATACAGCATGCTACATGAAAATTCAACATATTGGGCTGGGCACGGTGGCTCATGCCTATAATCCTAGCACTTTGGGAGGCCGAGTCAGGTGGATCACCTGAGGTCAGGAGTTTGAGACCAGCCCGGCCATTGTGGCGAAACCCCGTCTCTACTAAAAATACAAAAATTAGCCAGACATGTTGGCGTGCGCCTGGAATCCCAGCTACTTGGGAGGCTGAGGCAGGAGAATCACTTGAACCCAGAGGGCAGAGGTTGCAGTGAGCTGAGATCACACCATTGCACACCAGCCTGGGCAACAAGAGCAAAACTCCATTTCAAAAAAAAAAAAAATTCAACATACTATAACATGTACTATAGTTGAAGTTAGCTGCAAAGTGCAAGAGAAGGATTGAGGAGAGAGGGATTAAATTTCTTTTTTTTAAACAAATTTTTGCTAAGTACCATCTGAGTGCAAGTACTCAATTATGCTCAGGAAATAGACTGTTGACCAATAAAAAACAGTGCCTGCCTCCCTGGAAGAGCGTATTTCCATCAGTCCCTCTCAAATATCCCTCAGTGTTTCCTCAGTTTCTCTTATCCCACAAATATTCTGGAAACTAATGCTCCTTTTTCTAAGGACACAATTGCTCCTTAACAGCTTCTGTGCTTCTACCCATCCTTTCAGCAAATTTCTTTTATATCTTTCCAGGTTTGCAGTAAATGGACAAGGCAATAAAGCTGAAAATTTGTCACCTAAATTTATCACTTTTAGCCATCTTTTCCTCTAGTCTAAGGCAGGTCTAGTGTCTAAGATCTACATATTTAAAAGCTTTTTGCTGTTGTTGTTTTTGTCTTTTGTTTTTTTCCTAAAACCATCTGTAGTGAGCCAAT
This sequence comes from Homo sapiens, assembly GCF_000001405.40. NCBI lineage: Eukaryota > Metazoa > Chordata > Mammalia > Primates > Hominidae > Homo > Homo sapiens. Next base: position 80,878,709 of record NC_000013.11, on the reverse strand, counting down.
TGCTATTTCCTAAAAGCATTTAAACTCAGGAAAACTCAGGACTTGACAAAACCCCCAAATACTTTTAAAAGATCCTTAACCCATTCCAAACCCTCAATGAGGAACATGCATTTTAAATCCCCAGGCCAACCCTGGATATCCTTGAATTTCCAAATAATAACTAAATTTAGTAGTGATCTAGGTATGTGGTCACATGCAAAATATTGGTTTGTGACGCTGTCATCCAATCTTTTATTGATTTATTATCCTGCTCATTGCTGGACCATTCTTGTTTTAGGGGCTGTGACTCAAAACCATAATTAAATCTGTATCATTCCTGTGTCTGACCTCAGAGAACTCTTCTTCTCAATGAACATTTAAAATTTGGGATCAAACCACAGGCAACTTGAATCCTATGTTTAATCTTTCACTGTTTATTCTAACTCTCAGAAAGACAACACACAAATAATGAGACTTTAGTATATGTTGCAAACCTTATTTGCATAAGAATAATTTAACAAAATAACACTTTGTTACACATGCAATACTTTAAATGGTATTTTTTTTAAGGTTATAAAACAACCACACTGAAATAAGCTAAGATACATGCTTCTACATTTTCTTGTAATTCATTTTTCTCCTTAACAGCTGAGGTCAAATTCCAAGCATTACTTTTATATATTTTTCTCTCTTAAATAGAGATTTAAATCACTGTTTGACTTTATTTGTTCTTCATTAAATGTTCTTCTTAACAAAAGCACCTTGCCTCACAAGCACACAAATTTAATCATTTTAACTTACAACATAAATTAATATCTAGGACATGTCAACTGAAAATCTTAGTTATTTCCGAAAGCTGCAGGTGCTATGAAATACAGCCAACTGGAATTCATCTTCCAGAGAACACTGAGTATTACAAAACCTTGCAAGGATTATTTCCAAAAAATGTTTAGAAACTAGAAGATGACAAAGTTTACCAAGTACTTTAAATATCATTTAAGTTGACCAAGTTTAAATATCGTGAACTTATTTTTAACCCTAAACAACATAAATTTTTCCAAAAACATTTGTACTCATCTATATTATTCCTGGTAATTATCCTGCCAGGAAGAAAATTTGGAATGAAAATATTTGAAATCTGGAATTAATCAGGCAGCTTACCCATCTAAATTCTGACCATCAAGATAAAGATTTTCAGGCAAAGCTATTCATTCTAATTGGTCAAATTCCAACCAGTTCAAACTATCAAATAAGATGTTATCTTTGTCTTATCCTTACAGAAAACATTAAGTGTATATATTTTATCTCAATTCCAATATTGTCTTCACATGTACTCAATGCCTAACTGAAGATAAATGTTAATAAAACTACGTGGAATGTTAAAAACCCCAATATGTGTTCTTCTTTGCCAATCATGAGAAGTTGCTACACTGTTTATAATTACTCTATGTTTGAAACACAAACATTTGGACATAGTTTCTTTGCCAAATAGGGCTTGCCTGTAAAGATTATATACTGGGATAACTTTATTTGGAAAAGATACAATGATAAGGGCCCATACTATTTTAGTACTTACTAATCTGTTCTTGGTTTTTATTCAACTATGAAAAGTTTACCTAAAAGACAGGAAAAAGTAAGAGATTTTTTAAATTATAGACTACAGATAAATCTAAATTTGAATTTAAAAGGTAATAATGTAACAATGGTAATAAATGTTTAAGGACATTTTAACTTAAAATCATTTAAGGGCAAACCAAACAGAATAATGAACTTATTCTATAGTGTATTAAATTATCTTTATATATAGTTCTAAATGTTTTAATATATACTATACCAACAAATTTAAAATCATAGCTGATGAACAATCAGGAGACAGAAGTCACACTAGTTATTTTATTTATTTTTACCTGTTTTAACTTTATTTGGAAATAATTTCAGACTTATACAAAGTTGCAAATATAGTATGAAGAGTTCCCCAAAACCCTTTTCTCAACTCGTTAACAAATGTTGACACATTGCATAACCATAGTATAACTATCAAAATTTAAAAATTAACATTGATATAATAATATTGATTCATCTGCATCTTATTCACCTTTATCAATTGTCTCACTAATTTATTTACACCGGCCTAACATCTAATCCGGCACTCATCATTGCATTAAGTTTACATTGCTCATTAGTCAGCTTGAGTATGTGTCATACATATTTGGCAAGAGGACCACAGAAATTTGTTGCACCCTTCTCAGTGCCTCATATCAGATATAGGATGACATGTCTCATTATTGGTGATATTACATTTGATAACTGTTAAAATGAGGTTTGCCAAGTTTCTGTCCCGCAATATTAGTATTTTCACTTTTAACTAATAAGTATCTTATGGGCAGATACTTTGAAATATTGCAAATATCCTGTCTCTCATAACACCTTCCCCAACTAATTTTGGTGCACATTGATAATTCTTGACTACAATGATTACAGTGTGTGTCTGCAAACCAAACAAAAAAGGTGATTTTTTTTTGAGATGGGGTCTTGCTCTGTTGCCCAGGCTGGAGTGCAGTGGCATGATCTCAGCTCACTGCAACCTCCACCTCCTGGGTTCAAGCAATTCTCTGCCTCAGCCTCCTGAGTAGCTGGGATTACAGGCACCTGCCCCACCACGCCCAGCTGATTTTTGTATTTTTAGTAGAGACGGGGTTTCACCATCTTGGCCAGACTGGCCTTGAACTCTTGATCTTGTGATTCACCCGCCTCGGCCTCCCAAAGTGCTGGGATTACAGGCGTGAGCCACCGCGCCCAGCCAAAAAGGTGATTTTAATTTCAGTTATTATTTTTGTATTTATATACTGAAATGCTACTATTGAAAATAGTTATTTTTTCCCTCTACTATATATTTATCTATTCATTATTTATAACCCCAGTGCAATCTAATGGATATTTACTTTGGTCTATGGGCTATAAAACATTACTATCAGCAAGGCACAGTGGCTCACAGGTAACATAGCAGAACTCTGTCTTTAAAAACAAAAATGAAAACATTACTAGCACCATTATTTTGTGGCTAAAAATGTTCCAGATTTGGCCACTGGTTGCTTTTTGAAGTCGATTCCCAAGCGCCTTTGACATGGCATCATCATTTTAAAGTACTTTCTTCGTTTCTGGAACTATATGATTGATGTTTCAGGCTCATTCTGTGCTTTCTCCTCTTACCTCAGACCTAGAATCATCTATTTCCATTTATTGGAAAATGGTATTTATAAATGAATATCTCAGCATTACATTTGCACACTGTTTTTTAGGGACAATTCTTTTAAGAATAATCTAAGCCTGAAAATAAATATATGTAAGCACATACATGCATACACAGTTAGACCCATAGCCAACTGTATATATTTAAATTAAAAAAAAAAAACAAAAAAGAAAAACCACCATGACTACATATTGGTCTTTTTGGTTCCAGTACAATTCCACAAGGGTCATCCTGGCTTTGCCTCCTTCCTTATTTTAATGCCTGCCCCATCCAGCAAGAAATCAGCTTTCATTATCCAGAATATATTTACTGGTTTGAATCAAGTATAGAAATCTGATGTCCTTTAACACTCCCTTTATCTCCTCCAATCATAATTGTCTTAAACATTTTTTATACATTTTAAATCATGTCAGTGGTATAATTTTTGTTTCAACCATGAAACATAATTTAATACAAGAGAATAAGGGAACGTATTTGCACATATTTTTGCTCTTTCCATAGTTTTCTTCCCCCTTGGTATTCAAAGATTCCATTTTTTACATTTTCTTTTGGTTGAAATAACTTCCTCTAGCTATTCTTTTTGGTCTGCTGGTTACACATTTTCAGTTTCTCTGTATCTGAGAATGCCTTGATTTTTCCTTAGTTCCTGAATAATATTTTTCCTGAATGTAGGATTTGTGGTTAAATGCTTTCTGTCAGCACTTGAAAAATGTTGAGCCACATGCTTTCTGGCTTCCAAGATTTTTGATGAGAAGTCCACTGTCATTTAAGTTGACTCCTTTTAGGTAAGGTATCTTTTCTCTCTCATGGTTTTTCAAGGTTTTTTTCGTTGTCTTTAGTTTTCAGAAGTATGACTATGATGTTCCTTGGTGTGGATTTCAATCTATTCTGTTTGGTATTCACTCAGCTTTTTGAAAATGTATGTTTATGTCTTTTGGCAAATTGGGAAAGTTTTCTGCCATTATTGTTTTGAGCAGTTTTTCAGTCGTTCCCTGTTCCTCCTCTCCTTATGGAAATCTGATGACACAAATGTTAGAGCTTTTGTTATAATGCCACAGATCTCTGAGGGTCTGTTCAAGTTTTTTTTCAGTCTACTTGTTTCCCTGTTTTTCAAATTAGGTTTCTATTATTCTATCTTCAAGTTCAATAATTATTTTTGTCCCATCCATTCTAATGTTGATCCCATTTTTTTATTATTTTATTTTTTATTTATAAAGTTTTCGTTTTATTTTTCTTTACATCTTTCATTTTTTGCTTACAGTATTATTTCATGGGTGTTTGTAATTGCTCATTAAAAATTTTCTGATGGTTGCTTTAATATCTTTTTCAGATAATTCCAAACCCTCTGTTACCTTGATGTTGGCATCTGTCACTTGTCTTTTATTATTCTATTTGAGATCTTCCTATGTCTTCATAAGAAGGGTAGTTTCTATTGAATCATATATTTTGATTAATATTGTATGGATCTCTGGATCTTATTTAACCTTCTATTTTAGCTGTCTTCTTTTGATACCACTCCAGCAGTAGAAAAAGGAATGCTGCCTCTTTACTAGGTTAAAAGTTTAGGTTCCCCAGTCTGACTTTAATGACACACAAGTTTGTGGGGAGCTCCTTGTTACTCATGGATGTGGTGACAATTCCGGCTCTCAACCAAGCAGTCACTGATACCTCTCAGGCTTGCTGGAACAGAAACTGTTTGTTACTTCCCCTCTGTGGCTTCCACTGACACCACAGAGAGGGTGGCCTCATTACTGCTGGGTGGTGGTGAAAGTCTTGATTCACCTCAAGACTTGCTCTAACACTCCAGCAAGTAGAGGACAGGGCAGCTTATTATTGCCAGATAGGAAGGGCAGTCCACCCTTTCAGGAATATTTTAAAATTTATCTTATATAGGTTTGCCTATTTCTCATTTAGTTTATCCTAAATTTTTACTCTTCTTTCTTGCCAATATAAGTGAAGTTTTCCTTACCATTATAACACCAAATTCATTATTTTTGTGTGTATGAAAGCTATTAATTGGCTTCTGAGTTTCTTTGACATGGCATCATCATTTGTAAGTACTTTCTTATTTTTTGGAACTATATGATTCCAAAAATTTAATTTAATAAACTAATTTTATATTCAACTATCTTATTGGAGACTATGAGTATCCTTGCCTTGTTTCTTATCTTAGTGGAAATAGGTCTTGTTTCCCCATTAAGTAATAAACTTTAGAACTAAATATAGGCATCATACCACACCAAGAAAAGTTTTCTATTACCTTGAGTCTTTTTAAAAAATCAGGAATGAGTGGAATTTGGGGAGACTTTTTTGGCATCTATGAAGTTTTTTTTGGTATGTTATTATTATGTGAGATATAATAGACTTACTTGAAACAACCTTGAATTCCTATAATATATTCAACTTGGTAATAGCGTATGATTCTCTTAATGTGACTTTGAATTCTGTTTGCTAATATAATATTTAGTATTTTGCATCAATATTAATAAGATATATTGATCTTCAATATTTCTTTCTTGTAATATCTTTGTCAGATTTGGATGCCAATGATATATTTGGTCTACAAAAATAATTAGAGAAGTTTTCATTCATCTTCACATCTCTGGGAGAGTTTACAGCACACTGAACTAGCCAGAGACAAGTAAACTAGAGTCATTAAAATTACAACAATTAGGTTGACCTAAGTCCCAGTAGTGAAATTGGGCCAAGAAGAATATTATAGAAACCCGACCAGAATCAGCAGTATTCCAGGAAGACAGGAAAATCTCGAGCTTATCTGGCTAAAACATTGAAAAAAGCATTAAGTACTTGTTTGAAGTAAGGATTTCTTAATGATGTAGATTATCAATATTGTGGCAGCTCATATCTCCTTGGTTGATCGTCCTATATTTATATTAACCAGTTTACACTGAAAAACATGATTTGATTAGATGAGACTCTGAAAAAGGTGAGAACAGCTTTTCCTTTTCTATCCGAGAACTTTTAGTATTTGCATACAAAGTTAGGGTCATATCTTCTGAACAGATAATAGGTAAAAACTCTCAGATTTCTGCTTTAATTTATAATATTGGACATAATAACAAAGGTATAAGCAAAAACTGCAACCAAACACGTAATGCCTTTCTTAATATCCATTCGCTTCATGGGTCACATCAAACATACTGACAGTGGGATTTACTAACTTTACTAAACATCATTTTCATCATGTATAAAATGGAAAAACTACCAATCTACTTTATTTATTTATTTAGAGACCTAGTCATGCTCTGTCGCCCAGGTTGGAATGCAGTGGCATGATCTCGGCACACTGCAACCTCTGCATCCCGGTTCAAGTGATTCTCTCATCCCAGCCTCCTGAGTAGCTGGGATTACAGGCATGCGTCACCATGCCTGGCTAATTTTTTTTTTTTTTTTTTTTTTTTGTATTTTTAGTAGAGATGCGGCTTTGCCATGTTGGCCAGGCTGGTCTTGAACTCCTGGTCTCAAGTGATCCACCCACCTCAGCCTCCCAAAGTGCTGGGATTACAGTCATGAACCACTGCACCTGGCCCTATCTACTTTAAACATGAAACCTGAGATAATTTGTGTGAAAGCAGTTAAAAATATTTAGCTTACGGCAAGTTCTCACTATGCTATTGTCTAACATTCTTAAATAATCAAAGTCATTTAACATTCTTAAATAATCAGTCACCAGTTTTAGGTGAGGGTGGTGGAGGTGGGTAGTGATTACAATGGAAAAGCTCTGTATTAAGTGGTTTCCAGCCACTTGTCCCTTCTGAGATCTCTGAATGCTATAAGCCAAGTTAATATCTTCCCCTCCTCTAAGCTCGAAGCAGGAAATTGGAGTTTTCTTTGGCGAATCTGGCCTAGGAAAAGTGACTCACAAATACCAACATGTGTGGGCTTTGCAATAAAATATTTACATCCGCATTTGATTATTTTACTATGTAGACATGAAAACCACCTGTTGAAATGTTTTGCCCTACTCCAAACAAATGCCCCAATGTAACATTTTAGCACTTCATTCTTTTTTTTTTTTTTTTGAGACGGAGTCTCGCTCTGTCGCCCAGGCCAGAAGTGCAGTGGCACTATCTCGGCTCACTGCAAGCTCTGCCTTCCGGGTTCACGCCATTCTGCCTCAGCCTCCCAAGTAGCTGGGACTGCAGGGGCCCGCCACTGCGCCCGGCTAATTTTTTGTATTTTTAGTAGAGACGGGGTTTCACCATGTTAGCCAGGATGGTCTCGATCTCCTGACCTCGTGATCCGCCCGCCTCGGCCTCCCAAAGTGCTAGGATTACAGGCATGAGTCACCGCGCCTGGCCTAGCACTTCATTCTTAAAAGTGATTGGATGCACAAGGGTTGATAGACATGCAAGAGCCTGAAAGACATACCAATACCAACGAATAAAAAAAAGTAAAAATTGGAGAAAACGGAAGAAATTCTGGAAAGAAAAGAAAATTGTACACAATACCAGCTACTATTAAAATTATTGGGGAAATAAGAAAAATTTATGTTGCATTGAAAAACTAGGATGTAATTTTAAAATCAGAGAACAACAAAAGCCTTATGATTTTCTATTGAAAAATAACTAAAACGGTTAGAAGTTGTCAAAGAATGATAGTAGAAACTAGGTATTATGATAAATATAAAAGAGGAAATAAAAATATTTAAAAATTACCAATACAAGGCATACAAAATCTTCAATATAGAGCATGCAAAATCTAACTACAAGAGGATTCAGAAATAGAAAAAGAAAAAAATAGAAAATTATTAAAGAAGTAATCAAGGAAAACTTCCAAAACTGAGAGCATAAACTTTCAAATAGAAAGGGCTCACTAAATGCTCAGAACAGTAATAGAAGACAAAACCACACCAAGGCAAATTATAGAACCACAAGTAGAAAGAACAGATCCCAAAGACTCCCTAACAGGAGAAAAACGTTTACATACAAAGGAGGAGATTGATTATGATGTTAGAGTTCTCAATAACAACACTAGATGGCAAGCAAAAAGGAAACAACATCATCAACATTCTGAGGAAAAGCTATCTCCAGTCTCAGCTTCAGCACTCCATCAAGCTATTAATTAATCATAAGTATAGATCAAGTTCAGACATGTCAGCTTAACAAAGATCATCTCACTCGCACTCTTTTAAAGGAGGCTGAAAGAAGACGTACTCCCAAGAGAAGCATACCAAGGAAGAAGCCACGGTTTTCAGGAAATAGAAGATACAATATAACAGAGCGACAATGGTTTATGGTAAATGAAAGCTTCAAGATGAAGCTGTGCAACAACGCTCAGAGAAAAATCAGTTTAGGTGAGATTAGACAGGAGAACCCACGAAAAATTTCTCAAAAAAAAAATGCACTAAATAAATTGCCCATTATAGAATTAAGTTTTACATCAGCAGTGAGGAGTTTGTTGATAAATTAGCACTAGGAACAGGGAAAATCAAGCAGAATAAAAACAATTGTTAACTTTACAGGAAACAAAAGAGTGATGTAAAAGCCAGAGAATCATGTTGAAAGACTCAAATTTAAGTAACATAGCTATAGTTTTTAAAATATAAAGATTAAATATTGATCAAACTAAAGTTGTTACATAAGAATATTGAGGCTGCTTTGTCTATGGAGTAGCCATTCTTTTATTCCTTTACTTTCTTAATAAACTGGCTTTCAGAAAAAAAAAAGAAAAAGAATATTGAGAGAATTTGTATTACGTTATTTACCAGGGGAGAAATAAGGTAAAAGTGAACTAAATGTGTATTTTCTATAATAGGAATTCATTAGGTATTGTGTAAAATGAAAACTCAAAATATAGTCATTTTAACATACTATTTAGATATATAGAGGTGAATCCTAGACTTAACAGCTAAATTCACAGATAACAGATTTTAGAGTGGCCAAAATCAGGGCATGCAGGAGCTGGACAAAGAACTGCTAGAGTTTAAGATTTATCGAATTATTTAAACATTAAAATTGGGCATACATTAATTCAATAAGAATAAAATTTCAATTTAAAAATATCGTACAAGAGGAAAATACACATAATTTTGCAGAAGATGAGAACATAAAGAAAACTGTTTAGATACAAAAGGGCAAAAGACTAATAAGCATCTGAAAAATTGTAAACTCTGTTAATGATTAATATATGCGTATAATACAACAAAAATAGTTTGTGTTTGTTGACCTGATACAAATTTCTTTCTTCAAGTTTTAAAATTATTTACTCATGTTTCTGCTGCTAGTCTAATTTTTGCAATCAAGGAGCTGCCTCTTCGTCAAACCCATGGTCTAGTTACTATGGCATTTCCCATATGTTTGAATAGCCATTGTAGAGTTTTGACATCTAGCTTTACTTGTGCCCTTTGGAGATTTGCAACCTGAAACGTAAGTTTACATCTCGTGGTGTAGTTGTGAAGAAGTGAGATGAGATGAATGATATGAAGACATATGTGCATGTCTTGTTTGTAGAGCTCTAAATGCATAATTTTGATTTTAGTGGTTGCTGGGTAGAATGACAAGAGAACTGAATCAGTGAATAAAGTTCTCTTCTTTCTTTTTTAAAAAGACTAAATTTTCTATACAGAGACACTCATGAATTCATTTACATATAATTAAATATGCTTTTTATAAAAATAATAAACTGTACATATGAAACAAATGCTTAATTACACTCTATCTACATACTTGTTTTTATCCGATGACTACTCTACCCCACTCTCCTCTGCTTACTTCCTATTTGGTTCTTGTTCTCTCTCCCATCCTCTTCCACTCATATCCATCACCCAGCATCAAACCAGAAAATCTATTTAGTAGATATTATTCTCTGTTTTCCTCTAGGCATATATAATAATAGATAAGCATATATATGTATATACACACACACACACACACACACACACTATATATATAATATATATATATTAAAAATTGTGTGTGTATATATATATATATATATATATATATATATATGCACACATCTCCTTATCCATATATATATACATACACATATATGGGGAAGTTTTATTGATTTACAAAAGCAATAATTACTATATAATTTTTCTCTATTTTATTTTCTCACTTATTATAAACTCATGGAAATACCCTAATATGGTGACAGCATAATAATTCATGATACAATAGGACTATTTTTACACAGCCATTTTCTATTGATGACCATTCATTTATTTGCTGTTTTGTCTCTATGAATGAGACTTTGTAAAACAATAAGCTTTTATAACAAATATTATTAATCTCTTAATTTAATTAAATCAGCGAAATTAAATTAGATTCTTGGTTTAATCGTAACAAATTATAATCACTTTATTATATATCACTGGCTAAGGTATTTTTTTCTCCCTTAGCTTATAAAAATAGAGATTCCTTCCTCTGTGGTTAGAGAAGATGCTCTTCTCTAGTTCTGTAGCTATAGAATAAGGATTTCAAAAAGTTTGACATATAACCTGTACAGCAAATATGGTTAACAATGCTCCTGATAAAACTAATGTTACTCCTAGCTTCCCCTTCTCTCCTTCTGTCCTCTCCCTTCCTCTCCTCCTTTCTCTTTTCCTGTCTTCTCCTCTCCTTTATTTCCCTCCATTCTCCTTTATTTTCTCCTTTTTTGCTTTTCCTTCTCTGGATATTGTTTCAGATACATTATCTTCATACTCTTCACACAATCTTCACCTAAGCTTGCCCCTTCAGCTAAAATAAAAGATAATTTTCAACTTCCTCCTTAAAAAGTAAGTTTCAGAGATTAAAATTTGTTTCAAACAGGTTCCACATGACACATACTGAACTCATTCCGAGATGTATAAACGGCTGAATAACTACACCTGAATAAAGACTTACATGAGGGCTAAATCCTTCTCAAATTAAATGTGCATTACATGTACCTTCTTTTGGCAGACAAAAACCCATCCTTTATTTGCTGATTCAAAATGAGGCTGTGGAATGCTGAAGTTGAAAGAAGCTACAAGTTGTCTTTTAGAGTTGTATTAATAATAGCTAGTTAGTCCACACTACAGAAGGCTCCCATAGTGGTGGTAGGTGTGAATGCAGACAAGCTATGGCAAGAGAAATAATGGAGATGGAAAAAAAGGCTGGCTTGAGGGGAGTAGGGAGAAAAAACAATATGAGAAGAGAAAGGTGGAAAAGGAAGTCTAGAATGTAATAAACTCAAGGAAACACAGATCAAAAAGGTAGAGCTAAAATTTAATCAGTAAAATTAAAGGAAGAAGAACAGATTGTGGATAGTGATCTAGGTTCAACTGAGGAAACTCTTGCCAGAGTCTATGAGCCAGAGTAGTTGGAGCAGCCTTGTTTTCCAAGGCGGGGAATAATCAATCGCAGAGTTTTAACTTTTATTTTGGAGCTGTGCCTGAAACCCAGACTGAAAAAGTTTGCTTACTTACATGATCAGAAGCTGAAAACAATGTAATTTAATTTAGGCAGCCCATGTGTGAATCTAGTTAAAAACCAATACATTTGGATTAATTATGTATTTTCCAGGTCTGTATCAAGTGCAGTCCATTCAGAAAGCAGAGATAACATCTTCGTACTGCATACATCAAGGGAACAAGAAAATCTATTTTGTATCCTTGGCATTTGATAGAAAATGACTTGAATGATTCCTTTTAGGATGCTGTTTTGTTGACAGTTACAATGTAATTGAAAAAGAAGCCTCCTACTTTGTTTCTTTCATGAGGCAGCATGGATGTGAGCAGTGGCCCAGGCAAGAATGTTTCCGCTGGACACTAGCTTTTGCTTTTTTTAAAAATGCTGATTTTTATTACATTCTAAAAATGAGCTATGCCATGTAAAAAGGCAAGTTTAAAGCAAAAATTGGAATTTTAAAGTTTCTCATTGGAGACATTGGTCAATAGCTGACTAAGAATGGCAATTTATGGCCCGAGGTGTATTTAACAAAACTGTTTTCTGTGTGGGTAACTACTGATGCAGGCATTTGGCTAATAATGGGCACTTGAAGGATCTGTGCTTGAGTCAATACGATTTCTTAATGTGTTCTCTTAATGGACCATATACTTTCTATTTTGAAGGTTATCAAAGCTGCATTATTTAGTTAGTTATATATTGGATTTAGAAAGTAGGCTCTCAAAGCCTATGCTGTGCATGGCGTTTATTGAGTACCTACTCTTCTGAACTCTTAAATATAATGTGCTCACAGCTTGGTCCTTCCTTTCTAATAGCATGATTATATACTGTTTTTAATATACTTATTATTTTTCTATTTGATAATATAATTCTTTAATAGCCATATGGGAATCTCCATGAAGCTAGTTAAACATGGAAAAACACTTAAAGAGAGCAATGTGGGTGAGCTTTTTCTCCCTTGAGCCACAAGAGGTTGTAAACTTCTTTTCTTTCTGTTAAAACTCATTTCCCTTCCTGGTTCCCACTTTGTCTAACATTTTATTGTAATGTTCCTGGAATCTATTTTGTAGATTTTTGAGGGACTATAACTGTGCATTGCAGTTTCCATTAATATTGTTTTCTGGTAATGGACTCTGTGCCTTCAAAAGAACAATAATACTTAATCTTTTGTATTATAATTATGGATCCTTCTGTATGTAGTAGATGAACACAGAAGTAAAAGAAAATAAAAGATCAAAACTTCAGTCTTAGGACTAAATAATGTTTAGATTTTTTTGTTTTGCAGAACTGTCCTTTGAGCCAGAAACTGTCAGAAGAATAGATTTTTCAGCTTTCTTCTAGGATATTATTTCTGGGAAACTTCTCCAACAGCTTCCATCTTCCTCCCAATTCCTGCCATTGACCATCTGAATCCCACAGACTTTCTGCCTTTTTAGGGTTTTTTGGTTCTTTATATTTCCTCTCTTTCCCCTGCCTTCTGCCTTCCTGTCATCAATCAAGCTATTAGCAAATACTTTGTCCACTCTGCAAAGCTGCAAACAGAACACAAGACAGTAAAAATTCAATAAGTGCTATAAAGGGTAATAGAGTCTAATTAGGGAGATAAAAACATCGCAAATGAATCCATTAAGTAGAACTAATTACCACCATTACCTATAATAACAGCTAACATTCAGAGCCATTGCTTTATACTAAGGGCTTTATACACATCATCTCATTCAATGACTATGAGCCTGGGAAAGCTCTTCATACTTTCTGAATTGAGAGTTCTTCCCTTACACAAGTCAGGGATCTTACTGCCTAATAACACAGCACATATCTTAAGGGCAGGGTAGTTTTGTGAAGGGAGCTATTACTGTTGGATGCAATAACAAAGGAAGGCTACATAGGAGAGACAAAATAAATATTTATTGAAAGAATTCATAAACATTGCCTCATAAGTATATGTGAAAGTAATACAAAATGGATAAAAATGCATTTGCGTGTATCTATGCGTGTTTTTTAAGGACAAAGCCATGAGAAGATATATCTATCGAAGAGGTGTTTCTGCCATAACCTACATCATCAAGCTCTTTGGATTGTGGGACTACATTGTATAAAAGGGGCAGAAGACTCAGGAAAATTATGGGACCACACAAATCAAACAAAAAGATGCATTGTTTCTCTCTTTTTCCTTTCTTTTCTTTTTTTTTTGTTTTGTTTTGAGACTGGATCTTGCTCTCTTGCCCAGGCTGGAGTGCAGTGACACAATCATAGCTCACTGCAGCCTCTAACTACTGGGATCAAGCCATCCTCCTACCTCTGCCGCCCAAAGTGCTGGGATTACAGATGTGAGCCACTGCACCCAGTGCAGTATTTCTTCAAGGAAGATGGTGGCGCCACATAAAACCATTTGATCCAATGACAAAATGAAATTCAACAAAGGATATTTTAAAAAGTCCCAAACACACATGAAAATCTGGGAGACAGTGGACTTCATGTCTAAAACACCAAAAGCAACGGCAACAAAAGCCAAAATTGACAAATGGGATCTAATTAAACTAAAGAGCTTCTGCACAGCAAAAGCTGTGAACATTGGAGTGAACAGGCAACCTACAGAACGGGAGAAAACTTTTGCAATCTACTCATCTGACAAAGGGCTAATATCCAGAATCTACAATGAACTCAAACAAATTTACAAGAAAAAACAAACAACCCCATCAAAAAGTGGGCGAAGGATATGAACAGACACTTCTCAAAAGAAGACATTTATGCAGCCAAAAGACACATGAAAAAATGCTCATCATCACCGGCTATTAGAGAAATGCAAATCAAAGCCACAATGAGATACCATCTCACACCAGTTAGAATGGCGATCATTAAAAAGTCAGGAAACAACAGGTGCTGGAAAGGATGTGGAGAAATAGGAACATTTTTACACTGTTGGTGGGACTGTAAACTAGTTCAACCATTGTGGAAGTCAGTGTGGCGATTCCTCAGGGATCTAGAACTAGAAATACCATTTGACCCAGCAATCCCATTACTCGGTATATACCCAAAGGACTATAAATCATGCTGCTATAAAGACACAGGCACACGTATGTTTATTGTGGCACTATTCACAATAGCAAAGACTTGGAACCAACCCAAATGTCCAACAATGATAGACTGGATTAAGAAAATGTGGCACATATACACCATGGAATACTATGCAGCCATAAAAAAGGATGAGTTTATGTCCTTTGTAGGGACATGGATGAAGCTGGAAACCACCATTCTCAGCAAACTATCACAAGGACAAAAAAACCAAACACCACATGTTCTCACACATAGGTGGGAATTGAACAATGAGAACACATGGACACAGGAAGGGGAACATCACACACTGGGGAGGGAGGAGGGATAGCATTTGGAGATATACCTAATGTTAAATGACGAGTTACTGGGTGCAGCACACCAACATGGCACATGTGTACATATGTAACTAACCTGCACGTTGTGCACATGTACCCTAAAACTTAAAGTATAAAAAAAAAAAAAAAGAAATATAATCAGAAACAGAAGCTTCTGGACAGAGGTACATAAAAATAAATGCTAGGATTGCCCATAACAGAAGGAGTGTGATCTTGGAAAGCATTAGGAAGATGAAGTTTGTTTTTTTTTTTTTGAGACGGAGTCTCGCTCTGTCCCCCAAGCTGGATGGAGTGCCATGGCGCGATCTCTGCTCACTGCAAGCTCCGCCTCTCGGGTTCACGCCATTCTCCTGCCTCAGCCTCCCAAGTAGCTCGGACTACAGGTGCCCGCCACCACGCCCGGCTAATTTTTTTGTATGTTCACTAGAGATGGAGTTTCACCTTGTGTGTTAGCCAGGATGGTCTCGACCTTCTGACTTCGTGATCTGCCCGCCTCAGCCTCTCAAAGTGCTGGGATTACAGGCGTGAGCCACCGCGCCCGGCCAAGATGACGCTTTTGAGCAGCATTTTAGGAAGAGATGAAAAAAAAAATGCTCAGTGGCAAGGGTAGAGTGGGCAGAGGCACAGATTTTGCTTAATGTAGATGGTCCAAGTCACCAGGCACCACCGTTGGAAATAAGAAATTAATAAATTCAGTTCATTTTGCTGCCTGCCAGTGTGCATGAAAATGTTACCTAAAGGAAATACTAGTGTCAGGTGACTTTTTAACATTTATTGAAAAAAAAATTTTTTTTACTAAATGTTTGGTTAGGAATATTCAAGTTAAAGAATGTTCTAAATTTCAGTTGCATTTCCTTTGAACATTTCTGTGTTTTGTTTATATTTGGTGTGCTTTCTCTTTTACATTGCCATGCCATTTTATTTACCAGTTTCAGAAGTTCACAGTCATCTTGCCTTTAGCCCTCCAGACACACACGCTTTCATGTTAAAGCCCTCTATTTAGAGTTCCTCTCGTCCTTCCTGGAGCACTCTTTCCTGCTGTTTCATAAGACAGCTGTTCTTCGCTGGTGGTCTCAGCAGCCACTTCTGATCCTTCCGCTCAGAGCCAAAGGAAAAGCAAGGCAAGGGCTTTTATTTTAACTTTTATTTTATTTTGAATTATCTGGTAGACTTTGAGTATTTTTAAAATTAGAATTCAAGAGAAATATGTGGTAGGAAATCCTCAAAAAAGATACCAAAACCTTGAAATACATATTTCTGTCAAAAAGGCACATTTGAGAAAACACATAACTGATCTGTATTAAGTGCCCTATTCAACTATGCTCTTATTCTGAAGTATTTACAACTAATAACCAGATAATCGTCTAATAGTGTAAAATTATTCTTTGAACCATACATGAATTTTAATTAAACTCAGGGTTTTTTGGTATAATACCACAATATCTTATGATAATGCTACTATTTTTATTAGTGTTCTGATGATCATTCTTCTTATTGATTCATCTGAAAAGGCCAGAATGCTTTTTATGCACAAGCTTATATTACTTATCTTTCACAAAATTAAAAGAAGCTCTATTTTTCCACAATTATGGATGGATGTATTTCAACAAGAAAAGATCAAACAAGTATCTGTACTCTTTATTAAAGCTAAGATAAGAATACAGGTGTTCTGAAGCAGGATAAGAACTACAGCTGCCATTCACGTGTTTCAAGTGTTTCTTACTTTCCCTTTTGGAAGTCAGACATTTCTACCTCTTCCTTTCCTGTAATCATTAAATAATAAATGCAATGGAGCCACATATATAAATGAAAGTATCAGAAGAGAAAAATATGACTTTATGACAGTAGATAAACAAAATAATATTATTCATAAATAGAAAGTAAAAAGGAAAACAAATAACAAAAATATCCAAACAAAATAGTCAAAATTTTATACATACTAAAGATTAGGTAAAATGTTATTTTTTCCTCTGAGTATATAGTTCCAACTTTTGACATAATAATCGTTTTTTTTTTCTTTTTTGAGACAGATTTTCGCTCTGTCACCCAGGCTGGAGTGCAATGGCATGATCTCAGCTCACCGCAACCTCCGCCTCCTGGGTTCAAGCAATTCTCCTGCCTCAGTGCCCTGAGTAGCTGGGATTACAGGCGCCCACCACCACACCCAGCTAATTTTTGTATTTTTAGTAGAGATGGGGTTTCTCACTGTTGGCCAGGCTGGTCTCAAACTCCTGACCTCAGGTGATCTGCCCGCCTTGGCCTTGCAAAGTGTTGGGATTACAGGCATGAGCCATTGCGCCCAGCCTAATAATAGTATTTTTAAATAAAGTAATAGTAATAATAAATGGTAGATTAAAAAAATAATTCCTGTTTGGAAAAAATTAAAGTGGGATAACATATATTAAAAATCAAACAAAAATTCTAATTACCTACCAAATACAGCTTTTAGTTCAATGGTGGCAAAATAAAAACAATTTCAGCTGAGTGTGGTAAATCCTCCAGTAGGAGTATATGACACTGTCTTGTGACAGAGGAAGAAGGAATCATTTATTCCAGGGTGTCAAAGGAGAAGTCTCAAAGGGCATGACGCTGATCTGGCTTATATAAGAATAATGAGTGGAATTCATTGTTTAAAGAAAGAGGAACATGGGCTGGGCACAGTGGCTCATGCATGTAATCCCAGCACTTTGAGAGGGTGAGGGAAGAGAATCACTTGAGCCCAGGAGTTTGAGACCAGACTGGGCAACATAGAAACATAACAAAAATAAAAATTAGCCAGTTGTGGTAACGTATGCCTGTAGTCCCAGCTACTGGGAGGGAAGGTGGGAGGATCCCTTGAGCCTAGGGGGTCAAGGCCGCAGTGAGCCATGATGGTGCCACTGCACTCCAGCTTGGAAGACCCCTGTCTCTAAAAATAACTAACTAACTATATGCTAGGCAGAGAAAACAATCCAAAAGCATGAAGTCTTAGAAGCTACTGGCACTTCCCAAGAAGGGCAAGCAGTTTCTTATTGTAGGAGTGTGGGAAGGTGATGGAAGAAAAGGGAAGGAGAAGGACGGGAACGGAAGGGACAAAGTGGAAAGCAGATTTAAGAGGCCAAGAACAACGATTGAGAAAACAAGTTCAAAACTATGATTATTATAATAGTTCAGTACAAAGGATAATGAAGGCCTGAACCAAAGCATGAAGAAGAAAATAACAGATAATTTTCAAGAGCTGTTTAGGGGGTAGAATTCATAGGTACATGTAATTGAGTAGATGTGAAGAATTGAAGAATGAAATCTCTCTGGCATACACAAGAAAATCAATAGTAATTGTTGAAGAATATCAATTTTTAGAAGCAGGTAAATCTAGTCTAAACAATGCCCGGGTAGATATACTTGAAAGAAGAAAGTTTAAGGCCTGCAAGTTTCTGCGGTTCACACCTGTAATCCCAGTGCTGTGGGAGGAGCAGGTGAGAGGATCTCTAGAGTCCAGGGATTCAACGTTATAGTTAGCTATGATCACACCACTGCCTTGCAGCATGAGCAACAGAGCAAGACTCTGTCTCTTTAAAAAAGAAAGAAAGAAAGAACATTTATGAAGGCAGTTCTGGACATACTGAGTTTAAGCTCTGTAGAATAGCTATACTATGTTACTATGCCCATACATGTCTTATATACATAAAGTGGAGGAAAATAACAGAAAGACCCTAGTAGCCAAAAAAGGCTCTATAATAGAGGTAGAACTATAAAGCATTTATTCTGTTGCATTTATTTTCATTTTTGTGACATTATAAATCACAAACAAATATTTGTCATCTCTTGCTATTTCTTTTGTAGTAAATTTATTAGTTGGTATAATATAATTCATTAAGCATTATGTTTACAGCTATATTTTGCTTTTGAAAAACCAATTCAAATTCAAAATAATAAAAACACATTTTTAATATTTAATTATGAATTATATAAGGAACTTCTTTTAAATGAACAAGAAGATTTTACATATTTTATCTCCTGAAATCATCAGAAACCTGTGAAATATGACACAATAGCAACATTATTGATAATAAACAAATCGTATTTGATGTATGCCAGCACTTTACTTACATTATGAGACTGACACACTGCCTACTGCTCTAAGGAGGCAACTAGACTTACATTAAATAATATAATTTCACAAGTCTATCAGGTAGTTGCTAATATTTGCCCACTTTACAGATAAACAAAATGTGACACAGTTTAAGAAATTGGCCTTCAGTCACATAGTTCAAGTTGTAGACAGGTTTTGATCCTGGCTGTCTAAGTCCTTAGTCACTTTGCATACCATCTTGACTCTAAACAAAAGAATATTTATCCCTACCTACGGACATAGAAACTCAGGTCTAAATATTTTTTCAGTTGTGTTTCTATAAATTTCAAGTGAAACATTCAAATTTGGCATAATATTTGTTCAAAGAAAAGGTATTTAAAAATAGATACCAATGAGATTATTGGGATAGAGGCAATTATGATTTACCGTTTTCATCATACAGTTTTACTCCTACAACTTCTAAACATGAGAAATCTACTCTTCTTTTAGTAACAAATGCACCTTCTGTTTTTTAATGTGAATTTTCATGTATGAGTGAAAATGTGTGATTATTTTCTTCCTAAAACATTTAACACAAATAATATTTTAGTCCTTCTTGTAGAATCATATGATGGATGCTTTCCTCCATTAATTTTAGAAATTTAAATTTTAGTAACAGAAATTTAAAACACGATGCAATAATTTTATTTTTTCTAACGTGTTTAAAATGTCTATGTTGTAAATCTAAAAAACTGCTTGAAGAAACCTATCTTGAAGAAAGAAATAACCAATTAGAAGATTTGGAAATTACATATAGGTATCTTGATGATTGTTTATTTTTAGGTAGATAAAGAATTCATCTTTCAAATTTTAGCATAATTTATACCCACAAATCTGAATGAATACAATGGGTTATCTAATTAGCAATCAGATATTTTACTCATTAATGTCATTAATTATCAGATGTGTGTAAAATGTAAGCTACTTTTAGTTTTTAAAGAAGAAAAAATAGATCCATAGTATTATAAAAAACAAACTAAGTAAATTTTTATTACATCAGGAACATTTATTCTGAGTGTTCAAACAAATCAAGTAAATATATTTTCATCACAATCACTCATTCACAAACATGCACCTGTATTGTAAATACTAGACTTGTAGAAAAACTTCTGTTTAATCTTGGGTGGTCTCTTTGCTCAGGTTTGATTAAATATGTCTTTTCACAACAGGTGACTTTTTAATTGTTTTCTTATGGCAACCCATTTATTCCTTAGGCTTTGTTTGGCTTGCGTTAGTTTTCAGAGTTAATGGCCATGTGTGAGAACATGCTGAGTACAGGTGGCCAATGGTTATGCTGAGAATGTGGGTGTTACAGCAAAGGCAGTGGGCAAGTGATTTAACTTGACCAATTAATAAAGTGTTTGAACCCTCAAGGTCTTTCAAACAGAAAGCAAGCTCAGAATAGGCATTTGGTAACGCAAGTATGAAATGAAGAGTAAAACAGCTTGTTCTTTGCATTTATTGGGTTTTCCTTCTTTAGTGCGTTGAGCCTTTTTCCTTACACAGCTTAAGGGCTCAACTCAACTTTTTCAGAGTGGCTTCTTTTCTGTGTGGGCAGTTCCATTAGTATACTCGGTATTTTCCTCACTCTGACTTTTGCATTCTTATTTTGGTCCTTCTAGAAGCCTATCAGGCTAGCAATTTGAGCTCTGGGCCTGCTTTGTTTATTTCTTCCTGGCCAACAGATATGGGAAATTCTATAATAAGGAGCATTATGATCCCTAGCACCCAAAAATGAATGCTAATTTTACATATGCTTAAGATAAATTAAACAATAGAAGCTGGATTAGGAGTAAAAATTTATGCCCAGGCAATCCTGACTGAGGAGAACCAAAAGGAAAAATGAGATCTTTGGATGACCTAGGCTACCAAAAACTAGCACCAAACATAGAAAGAGCTTTCCCACTGGGCTTAATTTTTTTCTTTTTCTTTTTTTTTTCTGACAAAAGGAACATTTGTTTGCAATTAGCTTAGGTAAAGAAATAGCATCTGAACTCTTATTTTCCAATTGGAATGACCCCATGACCTGCTATGAAGACACTTGGAATATTTATTCAGTCTTGGTTAAGGATGTATGGGGTTGGGGTCAATTTTAACAAATGTGAATGCATTTGCCAAGTGTTTTTCAGTTTCAAAATTATCCAAGCACCAAATGATGAAATAGTCCTTAAAATTATTTAAAAGTGTTTTTAGTAATATGTACTGAATTCAATTACAGTACCATTGCATGCTGAAAAAATCCCTTGATGTGTGATAAATTGACAAATATCAGTGAAGAAAGCAAGTTTCCACAAATGTCAATATAGTAATCTGCCAAAAAACAGGAGGAGGAGAGTTGAAAACTATGTCTACAAATAGGTGAAGTTCATTTAAAACCAACAAAGAAATAATAAACAAGAATCATGTAAAATACAGAGAAATCCATGTAAACCGTACTGCATCCAGTTTCTTTCAGTACATCAAAAACTGTCTGACACTAAAAAAGGAATAGTTCAAATCTTACTTTCTTTCTTTTACAAACAGCCAACTACCTTTGAAATGATTTCTAAATGTTGGATTTTTCAGATGTGGCCATTCAGATTCTCTATGTTGTTGTGGCCTAACTTTAAAATTTTGAATACAAATAGTATATGCATTTTCCTTCTAGTATATTCTTTAATTCTGACAACATAACAATTATCTTAATAGTTTATTTCTATAAAACTGAACTAATACAATTTAATGGGAAAAAGAAATCCTCGATACTAAAATAATTTAGGAAAGAACCAACCTGCTTGCCACCTTCCACTACTCCAACTTGTCTTAATTCAGTGTTATTTGCAGTATATACTGTGTTCCTCATCTTGGAAACAAGGGAGTAAATAATACACTGGGAAAGGGGAAAGGTGGTTCTTCTCAGTTTCCTACATGAAGATTTCTATAAAGATATTAGAACATTGTGGTATTGGGACAGGAGTTAAGATCTCTGCTTTAAGCTTGGAAGTGCTATTAATGTGACTTCATAAGACCAACGTTTTTTAAAAATGTTTTTCTCCTTCCTTGTCCATAAAAGCTATCTTTACCTCTTAGTGACCTTGAGTATTCACTGCAGTAAGTTGGTGGTCAAAAAGTCCTTGTATATGTGAAGTTTTGGAAAACAAATTGTAGAAATTCAGGTTTCTCCTAGCAATTAAGGTGGGATGAAGTTCATCCACTCACATGGGTGGCAGGGAAAATTTACTGGCTGAATTGAACACGCAAGACCAATTTCTTTTAAATATACTCTGCCAACTCCTTCCTAGATCTTCCTTCTTCAATCCTGTAAATTACTTGTTATATATAAGCCTGATACAAAGTCATCACCTCTGCCCAGTCAAGTAAGAAAAGCCCCAAAACATTATTCTGCTTTTGTGGGTGTGAGTCTTATTTTTCTTCCGTAAACATTATGATTCCATAAACACTACGAATTGACAAGGCAATTGCCACCAAAAACCGAAGGTATTTTAATGGAGATTGTATTAATTTTATAGTTCAAGTTGAGAAGATTAATATCATTAGAACATTGCATTTTCATAGATAATAAAACAATGTATTTCTCCATCAATTAGGTCTTTTATCATCAATGTTAAGAAAATTTTAACTCAATTGATTTTCTATATTGATTTGTGTCCAGTAATTTTGGTTGTTTCTTTCTTTCTTTCTTTCTTTTTTTTTTTTGAGATGGGGTTTTGCTCTTGTCACCCAGGCTGTAGTGCAAAGACACGATCTCGGCTCACTGTAACCTCCTCCTCCTGGGTTCAATCGATTCTCCTGCCTCAGCCTTCCGAGTAGCTTGGATTACAGGAACATGCCACTATGCTCAACTAATTTTTCTTTTTTTAGTAGAGACAGACTTTCACCATGTTGACCAGGCTGGCCTCAAACTCTTGAACTCAAGTGATCCACCCGCCTTAGCCTCCCAAAGTGCTGGGATTACAGGCATAAGCCACCATGCCCAGCAATACTTTGGTTGTTTCTTGCTGCATAACAAACTATCTTAAAACTTCATAGCTTAAAACAATAATTAGTTTGTTATATTTCACAATTTTGTAGGTCAGACTGGCTTATAAATTTCCTTCCTTTATTATGCTAGTCTGTTTTGGTATCCAAGTTATGCTGACCTAAAATATGTTCATTGGGGAGGCTTACAGTTTCAGCTCTGCATTCAATCAGCTTGAAATTTATAACTCCTATCCCCACAATAAGTGCAAACATGAACAAACTCAAAATCAATGACTTTTTATAGGCCTAGGAGGAAATTCACTGACTCCACATTTAGGGAGAGGTGAATACACATAGAGCTGAGATTACCTTATCAGAATCAAGACATTGGAGACAATAATTGAGCACCAGTGTAATAACAGTGGATAACAATTGAGAGAATTGTAAGACACAGACTCTATTTAAGAAAGAATTCTTAAAGAAATTCAAAGACAACAGGGAAGAAAAAGCAGCAACAACAATGAAGCTAAAGTCTCTGGCACCTATGGCTACACTACACATGAAACACAGCTCAGCTTTTAGCCAGGTTAACATGAAACGTTACAAAATGCCTAATTTTCTCAGTTCCCATGCCTGACTTTCAACAAAAATTTACAAGTCATACTAAAATGCAAATAATAACAGTCTATAGAGACAAAGTAAGCATCAAAACCAGAATCAGGAAAGATACCATTTGTGAACTATCAGATAAAAAATTTAAAGTAACTATAATTAATACATTAAGATCTCTCATAAAATATTAGACGGTATGCAAGAATAGACAGTCTAAGTAGAATGATAGAAACAATGAGAAAGAAAAGGAGATGGTAGAAATAAAAAATTATGTGAGAAATATAAAGAATATTTTTGATGGTCTCTGCATTGGCTGGAGATAGATGAATAAAGAATCCGTTTGCTGAAAGACATATCAATAAAAACCTCCCAAACTGAAATGCAAATAGAAAAAATACAATGAAATAAAAACAAAATAGTATATAGCATGACGATTATAAAAGTTGTAATACATGTGTATGGGAGTATAAGAGGAAAAGAAAGAGGGAAATAAGAACAAGAAACATTTGAGGTAATAATGGCTGAAATTTTTCTAAATTTAATTACCGATACCACACAGATCCAGGACTCTGCAAACACCAGGAAGAATAAATGCCCAAATGATCTACACTTGGGTATATCATATTCAAAGTACTGAAAATCCTAAAAGGAGCCAGAGGTATGAGGGGCACTTTAGTTAGAGGAGCAAGGATAAGAAATAGACATCAGTTTCTCACAAGAAACCATGCAAGCAAAAAGAGAGTGAGGTAATATAAGGTATTGAAAGAAAAAAAAAATGAACCTACAATTTTGCATCCAGGAAAACTATTCCACAAAAGTGACAGAGAAATAAAGACTTTTCAAAAGAACAACTAAGGTAATTGTCTACCAGGAGACCTCCTGTACAAGAAATATCAAACAAAGGTTATTCAGGGGAAGAAAAAACATACAGGTCAGAAATGTATACCCATATATAGAAAGAAAGAACATCAGAGATGAAAAAAAAAGTTAAAATATTTCATGTTTATTTTTCTTAATAGAATAAATAAACCGTTGTTTAAAGAAAAATAGTAACAATGTATTAGGTGATTTTAACACATGAAATAAATGATGGAAGTGTTTTCAGTGAGAGAAGGGAGAAATTGGAAAGACTGTTATAAAGTACCTGCACTACACTGAGTGGAGTTAGATTAGTTGTGCACGTAAATTAAAACTAGAGCAACCACTTAAAAATTTAAAAAGAAGAATGACTGACACTAAGAGATGAACAAAAATGAAATCATTTAAAATATCCCATTAAAACTAAAGAAAGTTAAAAACACCAAATGCTAGAGAGAATATGAAACAATAAGCATTCTCATTCACTGCTGGTGGGAATGCAAAATGGTACAGCCACTTAGGAAGATCATTTGGCAGTTACGTACAAAACTGAACACACTAGTACCATAGGATCCAGCAGTCATGCTCCTTGGTA